>NC_000004.12:156800168-157103199 GCF_000001405.40 Homo sapiens
AATATATTTTTTAAAACCACCATAAGGCACACTTATTTTAATCTATGTTCATTCTCTTTTGCCTGACTCAAGTATTTTCAAATTGATACAATTAAGCATTTTCTTTCCAAAAGCTTAAAATATATGAGCCTTTCAAAATTAACATCTTTAGAAATATATAACACTAATCATACTTATCTTTTAGCTTTGTTCTAAGATTATCAGAGGACATAAAAATGGAAAGTTATATACAAAATCAGATTCATGTGATTTCAAAGTAATATTAAGTAAATAAAAATACAATTATATCATCTGAATTAGAGAGATATGTAAAATTTTAAAAGCTCTAGTTTTAATGTTCAAAGCATTTAAATATATTAACAGCATTACTAAAATAGGCAAATTGTTGATTATTTATGAGAATACTGATGAGAGTAGCATTTTCTCAAATGTGTGGATCATATGGTAAGTCATTTGGTGACACTTGCCACGTTATTATGAATGAAGCAGGGTTGGCATCCTAGTGGATACAACTAGACATTACATTAATGTTATAACAGAGTTCAAGACATGCTAAATAGCTCATCAATATTGAAACTGTCTACAAAAATTGTAACTGTGAGAAGATTATGACAGTGAAAGGGCTCTGATTTAATCAACCCTCATCTTGCCTTTAACTTCCAAACTGCCCTTAGTCATTCCTAGACAAAGCTAACTTTGGGAGAAATTTAGTTTACAGCTTAAGTTTTAATACACCTTTCCCCAAACTCAACTGTCACTGTAAAATGAATGAAACACTATGAGGTTAGGAGGATGAGAGAAGCCTGAACTTTGTTAAGGTGTAGAAGTAAAGGATTATGAGCCATTATTCCCAAGGTCAAAATATTTGCAACTTCCCCAGTTACTCTTGCAGATAGCATCACTATTGTAGAACTTAAGATTGGTCTTTTGGATGTCCTTCCAGACGTTTGCATTTCTGATGACCAATAGCTCCACTCAGACTCTTAACAGGTCCTGTGGCCCCCACCCAGAAGCAGAGTCAGGGTAAAAGGACCGATTTCCATGCCCCTATGACTGCATCCATAGCCAGTCAGCAGCACCCATTCCCTTGCCTGCCAAACTATCCTTGAAAAACCCTAGCCTCTGAATTTTGGGGAGGCTGATTTGAGTAATAATAAAGCTCCAGCCTCCTGTTTAGCTGGCTCTATGTGCATTAAACTCTATCTCCATTGCAATTCCCCTGTCTTGATAAATCAGCTGTATCTGGGCACTTGACAAAAAGAGCCCCCTGGAGGGTGACAGTACCAACCTCTACATATGCCTTTCTTGCATATAAAAAGTAAACACAATATTAGGATAATCATGCAAAGCGTCTCCTACTAGGGGTTATTTTATCTGGCATGGGAGGGAAATGGAGAGTTCTTCCTTGGAAGCCATTTATAGAGCATGGCACTTGGCACATACTATGTCCTTAATATACTTCTGCAGTGTTTTGAATATTTTATTAATCAAATATAAAGTCAATCTTTAATATGCACATCAATATATGAATTCCACTAATAAAGAAAGAATGCAAAAATGGTAATTGTGGCTCTGTTCTCTCCTGAAATTATTAATTCTAAAGGTGTCTGTAAAATGCATAATCACTTGTGAAAGGAAAATAAAAACTCAGAACCCCAATTCATTATGCTAAAAGCAAAAAATTAAGCTGAAACCTCAGTCATACAAGACACTGCTTTTCCTTTTGTTCCTAAGTAGACAGCGACAGATAAAAGGTTAAATATCTTCACAGGTAGCTAGCTACTCTATGTTCACCTTATGTTACACAAAAAGCCAAATTAGTGAGCCCGAGACAAATACATAATTGTCTATTTTCCTACCTGCCCCTTTTTTCTTGCAACATGTGGTTACTATATACTCCCTCTTTCCCCTCTAGCCCACCTTTCCCCTTTAAATACTGAAGCCCTCAAATTCATCGTTGGAGAAAGGCATGGGCCACAGACTGTTTTGATGATTCTGTGTTGTTTTCTTCTGGGTATATCGTTAACTTTGGCAACATAAACTTCTAAATTGATTGAGATCAGTCTCACATACTTTTTGGCTTACACCCTTAAGGCCAAAGAAAGTCAGAAAGGAGTCAACAGCAATAAAATTCTGAAAACTAAAAAGGAGTTGGATGTGTCGTCATTGGATTGGTGGGCTTTGCAAAATTTGGCAGGGGCATAGACAAGAAGCAATTAAATATACATAAAGGAACAATAAAAGAATGACTAAAAATCTGTTAATGAAATTGCCAGATACCCCAAATCTGCTTTCCTCTTGGCAGAAGACAGTTCAGATTCGTTCTGTGGAAAACCCAAGCAGAGTTGAGGGTATGGAGAAGGTAGAGTAGAAACATACACACACATACACACACACACACACACACACACACACATATACATTTTACATACACAAAACATATATATTAGATATATACAATGCCAAATATCTCAGTGTTAATCAACTCAGCTCCTAGTTCAGAACATTGGTAACCAGTATTTATACTCTTAGAAAAGAGATGAGAGGAATCAGAGTGTTTTGAAGAAACTGACTAAGCCAGCACGCAGTACAGTGAAGACAATAGTGGGCAAGCCCATCCACAGGCACAGAATGTCCAATCAACTTTTAAGTGGCCAGCTTAAATTCTAGACTTAATCAGAATTCATTTAAGTTTGAGGGTTAATACTTAGAGCATTTTAAGTTATGCAAGGCTGCAAAAATTTTATCTCTGATGCTCCATTTTCTCAGTATATTCATGGAAGTTTTACTCTCTTCGCAAACAAGGAAGTAAATTGAGACACAGGAAGACAAAAGATCCAGCAAACAGAGGATCTAATGCAAGAAAACGTCAAAAGGAATACTCAGGATGATGGCAGAAGGAGACTGCAAGGATGACGGTTTGTGCAGCCATTCTAAAGGGCAAGCAGTCCACATTGGAGCAGGCCAGATGATTGCAGCAAAGATTTCTTGAAGAAGATGAAATTATTAGAAAACCAAATGTGTCTGAGTGTACTGAGAGGAGATTTACACAATCTGAGGAACAGTTTCAGGATGAATCAGTGATGAATATAAAAGCTAAACAAGCCAAAAAATAATTCTAAGGGAAACATAAAAAGAACAGAAACGGAAATGTAGTCATGGTATATAGTTCAAGGCTCAGCTGTGAAAAATGACTACAGAGCCACCATAATGTACACAATGAATTTGGATTTGATATAATCAAGATATAATAGAGGATGGGGTGCTGGGAAATATCTGTATGTGTGGTAAAGGCAGGAGGGTGACAGAAAGTGAAAGATGGCTTTATCTTCCAGTGAGAAATCGATAGGTAATTTGTAAAAGAGTGAAGAAGTAGATATAAAAGCATGTTAAATAGAGTCGTAGAGGTAAATTCAAAAGAGTTATTTCAAAAAATTGGAAGTGCCTGCCTACAAAGGGCAGAAAAATCATTTAGGAAGGGGAAAGTGGTATGAACTGCTATTTTTGTAACAAATGTAAGAGAAATATTTGCCATTTAGAAACAGGTGCAAAATTAACTGACAAAATTAAAATTAAATGTAAAAAATGTATATAGAAAATGAAAGAATATTTCTTGACAACTGGAAATGTCTTATTTTACTAACAGTATCTAACATTGTAGAATGAATGAATATCTATTCCAGAACTGTGCTTCAATGCTGGAACTATGTCATCTGTGAATTACCAAACAAGTTTAGTGTTGAACAGAAAAGGCAGCAGAGGACAATCTTTCATAGTTCTGTGGGTAACAGACACTGACCGTTGACAAAATTGATAGTCTTTAATATAATGCTTGGAAGAGTTGGTACAATAAATACAAGTGCTAGAAACTGAAAGATATCTACCTAATTTTATGGGAAAGTCCCACTCTTTTTGTAACCCTGAAAAATACACATGTATTAAACATGTGTGCAGAGTTTCTAATCTATTCATATAAAATTCATTTGTTTGAATATAAAAAAATTCACCAAAATCTTGAAATAAAAGTAATTGTAAAAATAAATAAATAAACAAATAAATAAATAACTGCTAATGTTGGCAAGTTAAAAAAAAGTAATCGTATTCTGATCAAACTATAGTTTAGAGCAACTGAATCTCCAAGCATATCTGATGAAAACACAGATAATTGAGTATCACCCCAGACCAAGAAAATGAGGATCTCTGACTAATCTGGTAACAAGCATTTTTAATATGCTCTTGAGAGATTTTTATAACACATTTGAGAAAAAATTTATACTGAATAGCTCCTGGACTTTTTGTTTGATTGCTTATTGATTTTTTTCTTTAATCTAAGGGTTATGACATCCCTCTGCTCTCCACATTCCCATCTTCCTTCTCAAAATCTTTCCAAACCACTCAACATGACACTCACATACTGCATTTTTATAGGTATTTTTTTCCTCCAAAACGAGATAAGTTATCAGAGACCAAGGGAGATATTATATACATCTTTGAATCTTCTCAACAAATATCTGATAATTAAGGGATTTAGGGTATTGAATGGGTAGGAATATTGAAGAAAAACTATTTAATTTATAATTTTAACTTGCACCATATTTATTTCTAGAAAACAACTCCTTCCATCAGGTTTAGATGGAAAGAGTTGTGAGGTTGCCATTTTAACTCCAAGCTTTTAAATCTTTGTGGCTTTAGCTATAAAATATGAATCAATCAAACCTCAAGGTTTCAATTAATCTACGATTTTATTTACAACACTCTTATAAAATGACTTACAATAATCTGTCTGCCATTTACCATTCCTACATAGTGCTAATTGCGTTTTTCTTTCTAACTACAAATCATAGCATCTGTGAAATTTTTTCTTAGCAAGAAATTAATTGGAACAAAAGGAATCAGTAGAAATGAAACAGAGACACCATGATCGTCATATGAAAGAGAGCATTGTGCCCATGGAGAAGTGGAATTGAAAAATATATTAAGCAATTCTTAGCCAAGTAAGAGTTTAGTCTCTATAGCAATTATATAATTTCCTAGCTGCAATAAAATACTGTCATCTCAAGACTCCTTGCATAAATATACAAGTATATTGTATATTTTAATAAAAATCTAATCATTCAACAAGTGCTTCAGACTACAGTGTAGATAAATAGTACTTGAAATACCTCTTCCAGTCTCTAAATACAAAAAAATTCTAAGCATCAAATTTTCTCTTAATTCTCGAGGTAAATACAAATCTATTTTTAAGTAAGTTTTCAAATAAATGTCGACTTATTAGAATTGGTTTAACAATAGGGGAATGCAATGCAATAAGTTATGAAAATTTAACATTTTAAAAAATCTTGAGTACATCCCACCACTAATGTTTTTCCTGTAGGATTGGTGTTATTATATTGCTCTAAGTATTTTTATTCCAGGCATGCTGCTTTTTTTCCTAGGAAAGAAAGTGAATTAATATATTTGAAGCCTTGTTTGAGAGTTGGTTGGAGTTTTTCTTAACCTGAACATAAAAGCAAATTTGGCTTTCAGTTAAGACTTTTCTTGACATGATATTAACAGTGAAATAACCTACTGGCATATGTCAGAAGGGATGAAAAAAAATATCCTCCCTCCTCTTTTCCCCCTCTCACTTCAATATTCACTGTGCTGCTTTGTTCACCATATCCTGCATAATTAATAACCACTTTGGCAATCAGTCATGCATTCCTTAATAGCACCTCAGGCATCAAGTGTCCTTCTAACCCCTCCCCACAGAAACCCTACACCCTTCCACAGGGCATGCTGGCCAGTACGCCGTCTGAACTCTGGATAAGTCATTTACAAAATCACCATTAAGAAAAACACACAGTGGGGGTTATAATGTGGCTATAATACTTACATACTATACTATATTATTAATCTTTGTATATAATTTAATAACAAGAATAAACAAGATTCACTTGTATATTCAAACAAGTATCACTGATTATACATAGTTTTTTAAAATGTAAAATCATAGAAGTGATAGAACAAATCAGGCGGCAACTTAAAGGAAGATGAAGTTCACTGAAGTGTTGTGAGTTAAAGTACTCTTCAGTTCATCCACCCCCTGCCCAGCTTATCAGGCAAAGAAAAAGAGGGTAAATATACATTGACTCAATTTGTATGGTGGCTATAACTTCTAATTCTCTTAATATAAACTGATATACTCATTAAATGGAAAAAAGTAAATAAATTATTGTAAACATTATCATTACTTTGGATCAGAAACCTTAGACTAAGAGACTGAAAAATATAATATTCATTAAAACCATTTAAGAAAAATCAGTGGTAATCATTTTTCATAATGTTAACCAAATTGGAGGGAGAATAAGAAAATCTTCAAATCTCACAGACATTAAAAAAACAACAAATAGCACTGTACTCAAGAAGAATAGTTCTAAATATAAGACTAAAATAACTTTAAAAATTCAGATTTAGATTTGTATATTTTACTTAAAAATAGGTATGGTTTAATTGAAGCAGTTTTCTGACCAAAAAATATGCAGTACTTTTTACTTTTAGAACTGAGAAATAAAACTTTTAATAAAGTCTTTTGATTCTGGAGCAAAAGTTATTATTTCAGCCTTTTTAGGTTTCTTATCATTTTAAATAATGGTGCTTATGCTACAGTACACAGAGTAAAACATATATAATCTATTATAAATTACTCCAAAATTAAACAAGAAATTTTCCTTTCTTTCTAAAAGATCTGAAATGTGTTCTGGGCTCTCACCGTGTGTGGCCTCCAAACAGAAACAAGCTTGCACTGTTTTATTTCAGTTTTGCTTCATTTCTTCCCAAACAATCTCTCACTGCTAATCTACCAGGTCTTTTTTTTTTTTCTCTTTTAGCAGAAAGGGAAAAAAATCAAAGACATTAACTCCTTAGGCACAATCATAAAAGTTGAACACTGTATGTATCATTTGGCATCAATTTGCAGAAATTTATTTTTTATTAGTTATTAATGGAGCATGACTGGAGAATAATATTTCTATAAATAATTCTCTAAAATATCATTGAAATGCTGTAATTTTAAAATTATGTAGCAATTCTAGTACTACTGTTTTAAAAAGCTATAACTAGCTATAACCTCAAGTAAATAACATATGCTAAAGTTATTTCTAAAACTAGGTTTAGTTTATAACACCAAATGAAAAAATGGAGAGAGAAATTTTAATTATGTCTTATTGTAAGGTACCTGTGAATCAAGAAAATGATATGGAAATCCCAATATTGTAAAGGAAAGTACTGATATTTATAATAAATATGTAAAATCTTTAAATATTAGAACAGCATCACTTTATTCAAATGAACAAGTCATCTCTTATTTAACTATATGCTCTGTTATTCATAAACTGAGGAAAAAAAGAGTGGGTAAATCATCTTACAAGGGAGAACATAATTTTTAATGGCAACTTGTGTGGCAAAAACTGTTTCTGAAAATTTTAACTAATGTATTAAAACTCTGCCTCTAAGACACATGGTAATCAGAACCAAGGAGTCTTAACTGTTGACCAGAACCCGATATCCATTTATAGTCCCAAAGAAGGCTACAGGGTTATCTCTTTACCTGTGAAATATAAAGAATTTTAAAATAAACTTAACCCATAATTTGTCCTAGAAAAAAATGTGATTAAACTCACTTAAAATTTTTTCTGTATAGTAATGCATGCAAAATATTCATTGGGTTGATTATGAAAAGTAGATAATGTTAACTGTATATACTAATGTTTATAAAATCATTAGTATGCACTCAATTCTTTAACTTCAGTGGATGTCCCACTAATTCCCACTCCTCACTGCCTCCCCTAAAAAGAAAACCAGGGCAATTATTTAGCTAATGCAAGAATGTGTCTTTGGTAATATAGCGTAATATATTAGGACAGCAGAATATCTGGTGTCATTCCTGTGAGTCTACTGCGTTCCGGTTTATGAATTATCTCTGTTGTGTGAGAGGAACAAAGGTGACATATAATAAATAGGAAGGTAGTATAGCTCCCTGTGGGTTTTGGACAACTCTAAGATGAAATGGCTGAATTTCTATGAAATCTTAATGAGCAGCTACAATGTGAATGGCATTGTGCTAGGCACTCCTGACAAACCTCAATGCAGAAAGTTAATTGTCTACTATAAACTAGTAGTTAATATTATTTTTACTATTACAAAGAAATCATTGTGGCCAGTGGAATCTAAAGTGGAATTTTGCAGAGGTAGGTTTCTAATCAATGAGACCGTTGCCTCTGGGGAACAGAGTGTGCTGACATGAAGTTCATCCAGAGCAAAAAGAGAAAAATAAAAGCATCAGAGATGATCCAGGGGCTTGGAGGGACCCTTGCCCCTGAGCAAAGGCCTCAAGAACTTTTAAGTCTGCTGTCCAGGAGGCACACTTTCTTGCTTTAGGCTTTCATTAATCTGTTACACAGATAAGATTGATGGATTGCACCCTGTTAGCAAAGTGTGGGGGGTGGAGGGGGTGCATGGAGGGAGGGGTGTAATTTAGGAGTACACAATGATAATTCAAAACATTCTGCAAGGCTTAACAGCATAACCACTTGTCAAATTCTAACTCATCAGATCTCACCCTTCTGCAGACAGTTTATTAAGAGTAGAATGAATGTGGCTGTAAGTAGAGAGATGAATGGATATATGGAACCAAGACAAAGGACGGCTGAAGAAATGGCAGGTTAATTGTCAACGTAAATTTAAACACAGAAAAAACAAAGCTTGTGAGATTGTAAAATTCATATAATTTCTCCAGAAAGCAATCTTAAAAATGAAAATCACCAACTTACACTTATTAGGCAATGTAGGACACTACCTTCATTCTCTCCTGTTTCTTCCAGTCCAAAAGCCTATTGTTTTCCTAAACATAGTTTAATTACAAGAACTCCTATGCCTTTACTCCCCACATGTCTCCATTATCTACAGCCCAGAATAGGTCAATGTAGTTGCCACACAAAGCCTGGCTCAATAGAGTCCAGGAGAGTTGACAATAGCCCATTGAAGTCCATATTGACAATTTACCAATCATTGTTAAATGATTAAACAATCATTTAAAAATGTGGTCAATTTAATTTCAATAATGGAACCAATGACATACATTTGGCCTAAAGTCTCCCAGATGTGGTGTCTGGTCTCAGTCACAGTAAATCTCTGATAATAGGTCAACCCTGGTGACAGGACTTTTCTTAGCCAAGAGGATGGATGGCACTTTCAATCAACCTTTGGGTTCTTACTTCATCACAAGTCTTATGAATCTGACAACTTTCACACATATACAGTGAATCCTGTATTAGTTAAGCTGGGTGACTGAATTGCATGATCAACTCAGCATTCAAGTATTTATTGAGAGACTATTATGTGCTCAGAACTGAGCTAGCTGCTATAAATACCATACATATACTATGTCTACTATGTATATGTGTAATACATACATATAGTATGCTTTTATCATTACATATTTGATTTAATCCATATAACTCCTTGGGTTATACAACCAGATAATCTATGTAGTCACAAAATCAGAAAAAAAAACCTTCAGTAGTGATATTTATACGTTAGCTTTTGTGTTTTATTCTATAGGAGGACAGTAGATTGCTATTTATACACATTTAAATTAATATAATATAGACAGAAGTTCATTTAAAATATAAATAATATCCTTAATTTAAAGTTTATTTTGTCACATGTTTGGGATGAATAAAACCTTTGCTCTCACAAAGACCTGCTAGTATGTTTTTTACTACAATTAATATATCCCATATTTAAATATTTGAGAAATATTTCACTTTGTGAAAGTGTATCCATGGCCCTCAACGCCACCCTAGCCTAAAAAATATTAAACTCACTAAGTTCTGTGAAACAAGATACTGTAAAAGTATACTAAACAGATTCTTAGTGGCTTTAATCAAGCAAATAATCAGTATTAAACTATTGCCTATTAATAAAAATGTACATCTTTGTCTATCATTAACATTTTTCATTTACAGGTAGAATTGTTACATTTTATTAAATAAATTTAAAAATATTAAAGTATTATATTAAACTTTAAAAAGTTTTGGAAAGGAACAAAGAAAATGGAACAGAATATATACTGGCAAAAAGTATTTCAGAATGGAGTAGAGTTTGGGATATCTTAAATAAGCTACATAATAAAACTGATCAAAATTCACAATTTATAACATACACAATTTATAACATTTATAACATACTTCAGAGATTTCTCCTTTAACTTCAATCATACATGATAAATGATTCTATTATTACTAAATGAATAAATTGTCATTTTCAAAATTCAGTTTGCATTGTATTGCTTCTTTTTAGCTATACCCTTAACCAATACTTAAATTTCCTTTATTTAATCAGTTGTCTAGATAATATTTCATAGACTCCTGAGCAATCAAACAGGGAAATTTCTGCTTAACAATACACATGAATATGATATAAAATGGTAAATACTGATTTCATATTTTCTAATTTGCCTAATGAATTGCTGGCTTGGCATGTAAGAGTTTTTATTTACATAAAAATGAAATCCCAGCTAGGTTTGTTTTCTGATTTTTTTTCTGATTCTCATGTGTAAGAGGAGAAAAATAAAAAGAAACAAAAAGCTGATCCAATTAAATAAGGGGATCTGAAAGTGGTACTTACTGGCATGACAATGTTGTAGTGGATGCAGAACCCTGGTTCAGAAGGAAAATATTCATCAGATACAAATCTTATCCTAATTTGATTTCCTTTAGAAATCTGTTTTCCTGGTACAGTACCAGAACCACACCAGCGCCCTAATATAGTTCCATCACTGGGTTCCTCAACTTCTACAAAATCATACCTGCAAAAAGACAAAGGGAAAGAGACATCATTTCATAATCTGTTATTCTGGCAATTACAAGTTTCATGTCTGTGGGTGCTATGACTCTACGGACCACAGCAGTGAGTTAATCCAAAATTTAACCGGGAACATATAATTAAGAATTCTAAAGAAGAGACACAACTGAAAATGAGGGCCCAGTTGAAGAACTATGAGTCTCTTTGGAGTCCTTAGTTTTTCTGTTTACGAATTCCAAATTCATTAAATAACCATCCTAAAACTTAAACATTTTGTAAGGAGCAACCCTATCTGACATTCGATTCATGAATTATTGAATATAATTTTCATTTGGACATGACAGTGTGACTCCACTCTTAATTCCTATTATTACTGCCCTTTATTTTCTGAGAGTAACTCTTTCATCCTGGCCAGGGGCCTTGGCTCTTTCCTCATCTGTGATGCAAGCTTTCCTAGAGTCACTTCATTGTATACGCATCTTTCGCACTTCACTTGGTACTGTTCTTCCTTTCTGTGACCTTCCTGGGTGTTCTCAGCTCACTGTCATCTTTCTCGTTTTGATAAACACATATTTCTAACTAACCATATATGTGTATAAGTGATCCATCTTCTTAGGCTGTTAATCCTTGAAGAAAGGAACCAGTTCGTACATATTTCTATTTTACATTTCACTATACACAGTATCTTAAACAGAGGAATAAATGATTGTTTTAAACACATGTCAACTTTTGGTTTGGAAGGTTTGGATCAGTGGTGTTCACTGAGACCATTATTGCCCCATGACAGACTGTTTCACAAATCTGTGGGAACATTTTAGGTTGTCTCAATAATTGGGGGTGAGAAGGGAGTGATTGAAATGTAGCAGGCAAGGTCCACGAATGCCCAACAATGGAAAGTTCTGAAAATGAGTATTTGCCCCATGTCCTCCATGCCTTTCAAATATTTCACTGGACATTTCATGCAGGTGCAAATTCTACTACAGTTCATCTAACTATAAACATCATCTTACATCATCTCATGTATAAACGCATATATGTTTTGCACTGTTTTAGTTAAGATAAATTTTAAATAACGTCAACTATAGAGTAAATTGAGGGAATTTTCTGTGTTTTGTTTTAAACTTAACCAAGAGTTACTCACTTGGAAAAACATGTCACTAACAGGAATACTAGATATACCATTTTCATCCCAACTAAAACAAACATATTCTTATTAGTCTATATTTATAGCTGTTACATTCGCAATGAGTCGACTTAAAAGATGCTAACATTTTCCCTTTATTTTTCTAGGGTAATTGTTACTGTTCATTTATATATTGAAACAGATTATTTTAATATAAATTACTTTGCTATTTTAATAGATTTATATAACATGCAGACAATATATTTATTTTTAAAACAATTTCACATGTAAACAGATAACTGCTTCTATGAATTGCATTTCAGAATACTAAGCAGGGCATTGCAAAACTTTTGTTAAAACGAAGTCTGACATGGTTGTAAACCACTGATAGATTTTTTTCAAAATTTTAAATTCAGTAGATACCAGACTACCAAAAATACTACATTTTACGTAACATTAAACATATGAAAGAAAAAGTTGCTGAAAAAAGACAAAGTGTATAATGAAACAATTATACTTATAAATCTGAAGTATCCAAAACTCTCTTAAGGCATGGAACTTAAACTACTTCAGCTTCATTTTCCTCACTGGTAAACTGGGAATAATGCTACCTAACTCAGAGACATTTGAAGAAAGGAAAAATGGGACAGCACATGTGCAGCACCTAAAACATTGTTTGCACAGAGCTGCCACTCAAGAAAGTTTGTCTCCCATCTCTGTCCTGCACCCCTCCAACCTCTGCACACCTACTTTTTAACATAACCTTGGAAGCTTAAAAGCAGTAAATAAGAAAACACAAAGACAAAGAGGAGATATGATTTTGCTATATCACATGAGAAGTCCAGGGTTATAAGTTACATATACATAAGCCAGCCAGTATAACCATTCCAGGAGTTTTAGTGTATGTGTGTGCGGGATGTGGAAGGGTTAGGCAGTGTATGTGTGTGGTTCGGGGATGGTGGGTATAGCAGACCTAAGTAGATATTTCAGATCTATTTGGCAGAAACGTTGATAATCATCATTTTTATCGAATGGTAATTTTTACATCAGGGTTGTCTACACATGAAACAAAGTTTCTATTCATAAGGATCTGTTTGTTCTGTGCTTGGGAGGTGAGCCTGTGTGATGCAGGTTACCACCACTCATTCGACAGGGATTTATGAAACACTGATTTGGCGCAAACTGCTCTGCTAGATTCTCAGGATACAAACACATAACTAAAGCTTTTTTTGGGTTCTGGGTCCATAAAACACATTGGTAAGTGCTCTAATTAGAGTATGTAAGAAATACTGTGGAATAGTAGAAGAAAGAGTGTAATTTTATACAGTGAGATGAAGGTCAGCTTACAAAGGACTTGACACTTGGGCTTTCAGAGTATTGACTGACAAGGGGTGAAAGGGGTGGGGGATGAAAATGCATTCTAGCAAGAAGTACAATACATAAGATGTAAAGAAGAAAGAAAGCGCTAAGCATGGTCCATTGTGAACTGAGGGTGGGAAACAAAAATCAGATGGAGATCATGGTGGACAAATAGATGCAGGTGAGGTCTTGGTATTGCATGGTAATAAGACATTGGATTATTTGGTAGGCCAATGTTGAAAACATGTAGGCACATTCCAATGGGCTCGATGTCTCTTTAAAAAATTTGTCAACGTTTTAAAAAATGGAATTTCATAGAAAACCTGGATGTTCGGCTTTTAAAAAATTGAAGATCTGGTAATAATAAATATCATTAGCTTTGGGTGACTCCACGAGGGCTCATCTCCAGAATTCGTGTCAGCTCCAGCAAAGGAGATATCTTTGCTTACTTTACTGTCTTATCCTGAGCACCTACACCCCAGGCACATAGTAAACGCTGTGTCAGTATTTGGTGAGTGAAGGAATGAATACTTGGCCTTCATAGCAACTGAGGCTGGGACTAAATGAAAAATGCTTCACATGAGGCATGCTCTTTCTAGTTTTTAAAAATCTCTATCTACTTTCTATGATTTAAAAAAAAAATCCAGATTATCTTCATTTACTTATATTTGCTCTTTGGCATCTGAGTTGGCCACCCTTGCACTTAAGAGGCAGAGCCGCTGGAGGCTTCATAGAGGGGAGTAACACAGACAGGTAATCACCACATGTTCGAGGAATTCGAGGAAACAGTAACATTTCAAGTGTGGGTCAATAGAAAAGATCCTTTAACAAAAGCATCCTGAGAAGGAGCAGTCAGGGAAATAAGAGGGAAGCCACTGTGAGGGAAGGTGCAGACGTTAAGGTAACAGAGAAGAGAGAATTTCACCTGAAGCAGGAGTGGTCAATAATGCCAAGTGCCAAAGAAAGATCAAAGAGGTGAAAACTAAAAAGTATCATTGGATTTGGCCAGGATGAAGTCATTTCAATACACTGCTTCAGCAGAACACATTGTGTACAAAATTTTCTTGAGACCATTTTTCAAAATAACCATTTTAATCTTCCTAATAAAAAAAGCATCCTAAAGAGAAAAGAATATTCTCTTCAGGAAGTCTAAAATTAACAACTCAAATAGCTACTTTACTATATATTATTTTCTTTTTATTTCTGTTTAAAAATAAACTACCTCATATGTTATATGATCTGTAACTTCTTTAAAAGTATTTTAAAAAGGGCTTTAACGACACAAAAATATCTAGATTAAAATGTTAACACTTTATTAAGAAACAAAAATATCTTAACTTTTGCCTTCTCTGATTTATGTCGATACAAAATCCACTGTCCTGTAAATAGGAGAAGGGTGATGAGCATATTATTACTTATTTCATGAAGATTTCCAACTGAATTTGATGCCATTTGGAAAATAATCCTTATGAAAATTTCTGGATTTGCAGCGAGACAGCTGGCAACTAATTCTTACATGCTCATGCAAGTCTAGTGCATATATTTATGACAGTGCTTTGAAAAATCTATATAGTTTTGTTCTCCATAAAGTTTAAGTGAAACAAACATCTAATAAGGTACTGTGTTGTCTATAAAACAGTAGAACTTAGCATATGCTACTAATAGTTTCATAATAAATTAGGCATTTCAAGATTTTCTCAGAACTCGTGTCATACAAAAATATATAATTCCAAATTCATGCAATTATTCTACCATTAATTTTTATCGTCACACACAATAACTATTAAGACATCTATGGAATTTAAAGTTATTAATGAAATAATTTTTTACACACACACACACACACACACACACACACACACACACACACACCCCGTTGTCACTTCATTCCATATTTCCTTTCAACTGGTTTGGGAATGCATAGTGAGGATAGAAAAAGAATAATGCATTAAATCAGGTCGTCTGCTTTAACAACTTGATATTTTTCTTATTTTCTGACACAACACCATTTGCAGAATATGGGATTCACAGCAAAGGTTGGTTGGCTGATATATGCTAACATAGCCCAAACATCAAGAAGAGAATGAAGAGAGAAAACAATGATGAAAAATGTATCTGTGGGCCATAGCCAAATGAAAAGAGGATGATAAAACTAAGCAATATTGACACATAAAAGTGAAATCACAAAACACAGTCATCCTTAAATTCAGAAATCTACACATGCCCAGGTGACTGCTCTGGAGACATGGTAATCCTTATAATACACTCTCAGGTATTAATTTCCAATGTGCACAATTGGCCACGTCAGTATTTAAAGGATTTACTAAACCTATTTTATGAGCCAATCAAACATCACTTTCTCATGGCAACATGATACAGAGCATACAGGGCTAAGTGGTTTATAATGATCACTCCCTTTCTCTAACACACCCCTGGGGACCTGTGGAGGATTTACGTTCTTTTATGTTTAACAAACAAGTCTGGTGTTGTAGACAAAATTTTCGTTCTCATGTGGGAATTAGAAAACTGTGAGGCCATGAGGACGTCTTTCTTACTCCTGAGAATTTTAAGGAGTATACCAAAGAAATGAATTCATTAGTAAACATAATTGTCAGACACTCAGCTTCTTTCAGCAAAAATAAACCAAGCCTGCAAAACAGGCTGTTTCTAGTTCATGCTAACTAAAACCCTGTCAATTAAATCTACCCTATGAATTATCAAACCTGTCAGTAGTGTGAAAGAAACCCTGCCAACAAATGAATGTGGATTTTAAAAAGGCCTAGCCCTGCAAATGTCAACTGGAGTCTAAGCTTGTTGAGAAAGGTAATAAAATTAAGAAGATGACAAACATTCTACAGTGTGTATTGGCTTATGCTTTAGTTTAGCAGAATGCAACTGGTACACAAAAATAGAAGTATTAGATTACCACTTCAACAGCAAATTGTTTATCTATGCTTTAAATTATAATAAAAATAATTCAAAAAATAATAATAATTACATTTACTAAGTGATTCCTATGTGACAGACACTGTTTTTTCTTAGGTACTTTTTATATAGTAACTCATTTAATCCTCACAACAATCATAAAAATTAACACTTTTCCTCCATCCAGTCTATTAGTTACAAAATATAGAAAAGATAAGTAACTTGAACAAGGTCACACCAGCAACTAACTGCAAAGCGAAGGCTTCATTCTCACGAGTCAAACCTTAGAGCCCATGCTCTTAAGTGCTAAGCCACATTGCTTATTATATTTAAAATATGCCTATATAATTATATCTGCTTTATTTTAAGGCCTAACTGCAGAGAATTTCTGTATCTCTATTCAGATTGGCCAAAAGGTCTTTTTCAGCGACTGGAGAAATATTAGGGCCATACAGATAAAACTGAATAGTCAATGTGGTAATTTAGGCCTATAAATTTTATAGAGATTTATTTTAATTAATTTGGTAATATTTATTAACAGCCACTCTAAATTCTTTATGAAGAGTTTTAACCCTACTTGGAAATGTGTAAGTAAAACCAATAGGCATGCTTCACAGGACTCACAACACATGAATGGGTAATTCTCATGAAACCATGAAGAGTTCTACTTGTGAGAAATGCTTACAAATGTTATGTGGTGAGAAACTACTCATTTAAAATCATGTTATTACTAAAAAAAAACTACAAATATATAAACCATGAGGTCAACTTACAAAGCTAGAAAAATTAAGCAAATCAAAACAAAATATCAGGTGAAAATTAATAAAGACAAAAGCTGTAAGAGATATAATCAAAATTAAAGTTAAAATTCAGAATTAAAACAAAAAGCTGATTCTCAACAAGGGGTTAGAGAGAGAATAAATCGAGAATTTACAAAATTAGCAATGAGGAAGAAGATATAATCACAAGTAAGACTATATTTTAAAAGTATAAGTATATTTTATGTAACTTTATGCTAATTAAACCTGAAAAATTAGATAAAATGGATGACTAAGAAAATGCAAAGTATCAATATTTACTGGAAAAGTAGAAAAAGTTAAGATACTAATAACTCTAGAAGAAATGAAAAGGACTGTCAAGGATTACTTGGGAGGTCAGGAGAGCATGACTAGCTTGGGCAACATGGAAAGACCCTGTCTCCCTCTCTCTTTTAAGAAAAAAGATGCAGTAACATGGAGTTTCATAGGAGAGTTCTATTTAACTCTAAAAGAACATATCATTCCAATTTTATATGAACAATTTTTAATTTGACCAGCGCAGCTATCCTCCCCATTAAATTTTAAAATGCTAGGCTAGGGCTGGGCGTGGTGGCTCATGCCTGTAATCCCGGCACTTTGGGAGGCCAAGGTGGGCAGATCACCTGAGGTCAGGAGTTCAAGACCAGCCTGGCCTACATGGTGAAACCCCATCTCTACTAAAAGTACAAAAATTAGCCTGGCGTGGTGGCGGATGCCTGTAATCCCAGCTACTCAGGAGGCTGAGGCAGGAGAATTGCTTGAACCCAGGAGGTGGAGGTTGCAGTGAGCCAAGATCACGCCAACGCACTTCAGCCTCGGAGACAAGAGCAATACTCCGTCTTAAAAAAAAAAAAAAATTCTAGGCTAAATCTTGTATCAAAGTTCTTTGAAATGGCAATACTAGATACTAAAAATTAAGCTAATTTCACTCTTAAATAGAATAAAATGCAAAAATTCCCAAGTAAATTGTAATCAAATATAATTTGATTAAAAGATATACACTCAATGCATTTTCTTGCTCTTCACAGATACCGCGTTTTTTACAATTGAAAATTTATGGCAACCCTGTGTGAAAAGCAAGTCTATTGGAACCATTTTTTTCTGACAGCATGTGCTCACTTTGTGTTCCTGGGTCACATTTTGTGTTAACTCAGCAATGGAGCTGTTTTGCCTTCATATCATTTAGTGTCTTCACCGGAGTTGTGCTCATCACTTCCTTCAACTACTTTTCTTTTGCAGTCACAACTTGTCTAACTGGTGCAACATGCCTTCCTCACTAAGTGTCATTCTTTCTAGCTGTTTTTTTTTTTTTTTTTTTTTTGAGACGGAGTCTCGCTCTGTCGCCCAGGCTGGAGTGCAGTGGCGCGATCTTGGCTCACTGCAAGCTCCGCCTCCTGGGTTCACGCCATTCTCCTGCCTCAGCCTCCCGAGTAGCTGGGACTACCAGGCTAATTTTTTGTATTTTTAATAGAGACGGGGTTTCACTGTGTTAGCCAGGATGGTCTCGATCTCCTGACCTCGTGATCCGCCCGCCTGGGCCTCCCAAAGTGCTGGGATTACAGGCTTGAGCCACCGCACCTGGCCCACTCTTTCTAGCTTTTGATTTAAAGTGAGAGACAGTGACTCTTTCACTTGAACTCTTAGAGGCCATTTTAGCGTTAATTGGCCTTGTTCCAATATTCTTGTATCTCAGGGAATAAGGAGGCTCAAGGAGAGGGAGAGGACCTTGCCACATAATAATGAAAAAGTTTGAAATAATTGCTCAAATTAAAAAAATGTGCCACAGCATTCCTAAGCCAAAGCCTAGTCCAGAGCAAGGTCCTAACTCTCTTTAATTCTATGAAGGTTAAGAAGGGTAAGGAAGCTACAGAAGAAAAGTTGGAAGCTAACAGAGGTTGCTTCATGAGGTTGAATGAAGGAAGCCATTTTCATAACATAAAAGTGCAAGGTGAAGCAGCAAGTACTGATGGAGAAGCTGCAGCAGGTTATCCAGAAGATCAACTAAGATAATTGATAAAGGTGGATATGCTAAAAAAAACACCAGATTTTCAGTGTAGATCAAACAGTCTTCTATTGGAAGAAGATGACATCTAGTAATTTGATAGCTAGAGAAGAAAAGTCAATGCCTGGCTTCAAAGTTTCAAAGGACAGGCTGACTCCCTTGTTAGGGGCTAATGCATCTGGTGACTTTACGTTGAAGCTAATGCTCATTTACCATTCCAAAAATGCTAGGGCTCTTAAGAATTATGCTCAGTCTACTCTGCCTATGCTGTATCAATGGAACAACAAAGCCTGGATGATGGCACATTTGTTTACAGCATGGTTTACTAAATATTTTAAACGTACTACTGCTCAGAAAAAAAGATTCTTTCAAAATATTACTGCTCATTTGCAATCCACCTGGTCACCCAAGAGCTCTGATGAAGATGTACGTATAAGGAGATTTACATACAAGGAGATTTATGTTTTCATGCCTGCTAACTCAATATCTATTCTGCAGTCCATGGGCCAAGGAGTAATTCTGAGTTTTAAGTCTTATTATGTAAGAAACATATTTCACAAGGTAATAGCTGCCATGGATAGTAATTCCTCTGGTGAATCTGGGCAGAGTAAACTGAAAATCTTCTGGAAAGGATTCACCATTCTTGATGCCATTAACAATATTCATGATTCATGGGAGGAGGTCAACATATCAACATTAACAGGAGTTTGGAAGAAACTGGTTCCAATCTTCACGGATAAATCTGACAGGTTCAAGACTTTGATGGAGGAAGTAACTGCACAGGTGGTGGAAATAGCAAGAGAACTAGAATTGGAAGTGGAACCTGAACAGGTAACTGAATTGCTGCAATTTCATGATAAACATTGAATGAATGAGGAGTTGCTTCTTATGGATGGGCAAACAAAATGGTTTCTCAAGGTTGAAATTTTTCCTGGTGAAGATGCCATGAACACTGTTGAAATGACAACAAGGGATTTATAATATTCCATAAACTTAGTTGATAGAGCAGCAGCAGGGTCTGAGAGAACTGACCTACAATTGCAAAAGAAGTTCTACTGTGGGTAAAAGGCTAGCAAATAGCACTTAATGCTACAGAGAAATATTTCATGGAAGTAAGAATCAATCAACATGTCAAAGTTCATTGTTGTCTTATTTTAATAAACTGCCACAGCCACTCAAACCTTCAATAAGCACCACCATGATCAGTCAGCAGCCACCACATTGAGGCAGGATGTGAGCAAAAAGATGAGAACTCAAATTTCTGATATAATGCTACTGCATACTTAATAGACTACAGTATTGTGTGAACTTCAGTTTTATAAGTACTGAGAAACCAAAATATTCACGTGATTGTATTGTGATATTTGCTTTATTGCAGTGATCTGGTACCTAACCAACAATATCTCCAAGGTACGCCTGTAATACTTTATGACTGAGTATGGCTTTAGTTCATGAATATGAAGATGAACTAAGAATGACCCTTCAGAATAGTAAGAGGAGAAAAAAAATATATGATCATACTCATAAACACTGAAACAATATAATAAAATCAACAACTTAGATAAAAACTGGGTAAACTGTGAATAGCATAAAATTTCAAATCAAGGTAAAACATTATTCAACAGAAACTAGAGGCAGTATATTGGATCAAATTAAAGGTAATTCTCATTAAAGTTAGAACAAGGATAGGGCTGGCCATTCTCACCATTAGTTTCCAATATTTTGGAAAAAGGCTCTAGCTGTTTTAGTAACAGAATAAGATAAAAAGTTGTAATAGATACAGAAGAAACAAACGATCCTTAGTTAATAATAGATTCCCATGAGAACAGATTGTGGTCGGGTAAGCACAGAGGCTAGAAGAGCCTGGCAATAATTCAGGAGTGGGACAAGATGGCTTGGAGTATATATAGTATGAAAGTTGAGACATCCCAAGGAATGTTGCCTGTTGTATGTGTGTGTGTGTGTGTGTGTGTGTATGTGTGTGTGTGTGTGAATGTGTGTGAGAGAGTGTGAGTATACAATTTTTTTTGAAACCGTCTCACTCTGTCATACAGGCTGGAGTACAGTGGTGCAATTACAGCCCACTGCAGCTTTGATCTCCTGGGCTTAAGCAATTCTTCCTACCTCAGCCTCCCAAGCAGCTGGGACTACAGGTGCGAGGCATCACATCTGAATTTTTTTTTCTTTTTTTTTAACTTTTTGTAGAGATAAGGGTCTCACTATATTGCCCAGGCTGGTTTCAAACTCCTGGGCTCAAGTGATACTCCCACCTCGGCCGCCCAACATGCTGGGGTTACAGATGTGAACCACCACTCTCTACGTATATTTATTTTATTTTATCTTTTCGAGACAGGGTCTTGCTCTGTAGCCCAGGCTGGAGTGCAGTGGTATGATCTTGGCTCACTGCAATCTCTGCCTCCTGGCTTCAAGCGATTCCGGTTCCTCAGCCTCTGGCGTAGCCGGGATTACAGGTGTGCACCACCATGGCCTGGCTAATTTTTTGTATTTTTAGTAGAGACGGGGTTTCTCTATGTTGGCCAGGCTGGTCTTGAGCTCCCGGCCTCAACTGATCCCCCTGCCTTGGCTCCCAAAGTGCTGGGATTATAGGCTTGAGCCACCGTGCCTGGCTGCCAATGTGGATATACTTTTAAGGTAGATTTGACAGAACTTAGTGTGGGGTATGAGAGAATGACAGGGGTCAAAAATGATTCCAAAACTGCTGGCTTTTATAATCTATCTGGAACTAATAAGGGAATTCAGTAAAGGGACTGAATTTAGGACCAATATACAAATATCAAAAATTTTTCTTTAAGACAGAGAAAAACAAAACCTGAATATCAGGGATAAAAATGTCTTTCATAGTGAAATTTAAAAAGTGGCCTGTAATCCCAGCAGTTTGGGAGGCCAAGGCGGGTAGATCACGAGTTCAGGAGATCGAGACCATCCTGGCTAACACGGTGAAACCCCATCTCTACTAAAATTACAAAAAATTAGCCGGGCGTGGTGGTGGGCGCCTGTAGTCCCAGCTACCTGGGAGGCTGAGGCAGGAGAATGGCGTGAACCCGGGAGGCGGAGCTTGCAGTGAGCCGAGATTGCGCCACTGCACTCCAGCCTGGGAGACGGAGTGAAACTGTCTCAAAAAAAAAAAAAAAAAAAAAGTGCATAGTAATAAATTTAACCAATAAAGTGTGAATACTGTATGAGGAAGCACATACAATATTACTGTATGAGGAAGCACATACAATATTACTGAATGACAAAAAGGCATGAATTTATTTTTATCAAAATCACAATAAGGCTTGTAAAATATTCATATACAATAATAAACATAAAAATCAACATGTAATGCATATTATGAACCAGAAACTTCATAAATATCAACTCATCCAGTCTTCAAACACAGCCCCATCTGGTTACTGTTATTATACCCACATTAGACATATGCAGAGATTATGTAACAAGGGAAAACTCATATAGGTAAGGGTAATAGACCTGGAGCAGAAACCTTACTCTAAGCTTCAGAGCTCATATTCTCTTTTATTTATTTATTTATTTTTTTGAGATGGAGTTTTGCTCCTGTTACCCAGGCTGGAGTGCCATGGTGCGATCTCGGCTCACTGCAACCTTGCAACCTTCGCCTCCCAGGTTCAAGCGATTCTCCTGCCTCAGCCTCCCGAGTAGCTGGGATTACAGGCATAGAGATGGGGTTTCTCCGTGTTGGTCAGGCTGGTCTCAAACTCCTGACCTCAGGTGATCTGCCCACCTCAGCCTCCCAAAGTGCTGAGGTTACAGGCTTGAGCCACAGCACCCAGCCCAGAGCTCATATTCTTAACCATTACATGATACTTCTCTAGCTAAACAGGACAGAACAAAGAATCATCCAGTTTAAAATGTCACTACTGGCCAGGGACAGGGTGGCTCATGCCTGTAATCCTAGCACTTTGGGAGACGGAGCTGAGCACATCACCTGTGGTCAGGAGTTCAAGACCCATCTGGACAACATAGCAAGACCCTGTCTCTGAGTTTAAAAATAAAAATAAAATAAAATGTGACTATTCATTATCACTTGTGAAAATTCTAATTTAAACTATCCAGACCCTTATCTGTAAAATGGGGAAAATATTTATTAACTCACAAGACTGTTGTGAAGATTAAACAGAGGGAGAATGTATATAAAGTGTTTAGCATAGTGCCTAGCAATAAGTTACTCAGTAAGTGATAGTTTTGTTTTGTTCTCTTCTTATTATTGCTATTATTGCAACAATACATGCAACCTATGGAAGACTTCACCTCTGTGGCAAAGCAGATCACAAAGCTCCTCATGCAAAGATCACTACTTTAAAAAAAATAATTTTAATTGAAAAATACAATAGTGTGAGTTTATGGGGTACAATGTCATGTTGTGAGCATTGCTGGTGGGAATGTAAACTAGTACAGCCATTGTGCAAAATACTGTGAAGGTTCCTCAAAAAGAGAAAAATAGAAATACCATATGACCCAGCAATACCACTACTCAGTATATATCCACTGCAATCAATATGTCGAAGAGATATCTGCACTTCCTTGTTCATTTCAGCAGTATTCACAGTAACTATGATATTAAAGCAACCTAAGTGTCCATCAACGAATAAATGGATAAGGAAAGTGTAGTATATATAAACATTGGAATACTATACAGCCTTCAGAAAGAAGAAAATGTTTCATTCATGACAACATGAACGGAACAGGACATTATGCAAGGTGCAATAAGCCAGCCACAGAAAGACAAGTACTAAATGATCTCATTTATATGTGAAATCTAAAAAAGTTGCTCTCATAGAAACAGAAATTAGAAAGGTGGTTACCAGAGCCTAGAGGGAGTTGGAATGGATGAGGAAAGAGAAGATGTTGATCAAAGGGTACAAAGTTTTCGTTAGACTGTAGGAATAAGTTTTAGTAACCTATTGCACTACACTGTGAGCAAAGATCACTAATTTCAACTAAAGAGGCTCCAAAACTAGGCTTTTTGCCCTTCTTATCTGTGGGAGTAACTGTCCTGAATTTAACCCGTCTAGAACAATGTAAGCATATATATATATATATATATATATATATATATATATATATATACACACACACACACACACACACATATACACACATATATACACACACATACATACATACACACACATATATATACACACATATATACACACACACATATATATACACGTTTACCATAATTAACACTCCCTTCACTGTAGTAGAAGACAGATTCATCAACAACTAGCAAAAATATTGAGTACTTAATTTTTGTTTCTGCATTTTGTAACCCATAGGATTAAATGCATTCA
Organism: Homo sapiens; assembly: GCF_000001405.40. Lineage (NCBI taxonomy): Eukaryota > Metazoa > Chordata > Mammalia > Primates > Hominidae > Homo > Homo sapiens. The sequence goes on from NC_000004.12 coordinate 156,824,556, forward strand.
TGTATAAAAAGTGCTCACCTACTTGGCTCAGCATTTCTTTCCTATGACTGATCAGTTCCTGACATAAGTGATTACCTATCTTCAGTCAGCTACTACCTATGTGTAGATAAGCACTTTTACGGAAACATCACCTCATACCATTGTACTATTACTGAAATAATGCCAAGATTTAGGCATCTAATACATCTAATGTTAACTGAGAGATGGCTTCCATGACAAAGGACACTATTCATAGTCCTCTCTCTTCTAGGGACCACCTTCTGTACTCTCCATGAGAGACTTTCTTGTAATTAGTTTTATAAAAACCTCATTAATATTTAGGCCTGCTGGGTGTGATGCCCTGTGGTATGTGGCTGTCTGTAGAGCATATATAGAGTGAGTCACTATTAAATCAGTCATAATTAAGTAACAGTTCATAGACATAATGCCTTAATACATGTGCCAACAACTAAATCACCGCATTATTGAAAGAAATTTGAGAAACTAAATTTAAGAAATAAAATTAACATATCTAGATTTAAGTAAAATTTTTACCTCATGGATTATCATTTTGCCATTTCCCCTTCTACTTTGAACACAGTCGAGGTAGGCAGATGCAGGAAAAGGGTAGGCCCTCCTCAAATGCATTCCAACTACTGAGTTTAGGGTATCTAGGAATATAGAGATGGGAATGTCCACATCAAGGCATACTTAAAGGGCATAAAAATTTAAGGCCAGGCGTGGTGACTCACGTCTGTAATCCCAGTACTTTGGGAAGCCAAGGTGGGCAGACTGCTTAAGCTCAGAAGTTCAAGAATAGCCTGGGAAAGATGGTGAAACCCCGTTTCTACCAAAAAAAAAAAAAAAATTCCCAGGCTGGTGATGCCTGCCTGTAGTACCAGCTACTGGGGAGGCTGAGGTGGGAGGATCACTTGAGAATGGGAGGTCAAGGCTGCAGTGAGCCATGATCTCACCACCACACTATAGACTTTCTGACAGAGCAACACCCTGTCTCCAAATAATAATAATAATAATAATAATAATAATAATAATAATAATAAGAAGAAGAAGAAGAAGAAGAAGAAGAAGAAGAAGAAGAAGAAGAAGAAAAGAAAGAAGGGCTATAAATATATTCTCTCACCTACCCAATGGCAAGAGTGTTCCAGGTATAAGAAACTTGTAGTTTACTCTCTGTCGGAAGGGACCCTATAGGCTGCTCCTTCTTTGATACACTGTTTTCCTCTCAACTAAATTATGTTCTTTGTATAGCTGAACAGTGTTGCCTAAACATATCTATAAAAAGTCAGGAACATGTTAGTATGATTATGCAATTTTCTTTTTTTTTTTTTTCTTGAAGACAGTCTCACTCTGTCATCTAGATTAGAGTGCAGTAGCACAATCATAGTTCATTGCAACCTTTAACTCCTAGCCCCAAGGGATCCTCCTGCCTCAGCCTCCCAAGTAGCTGGGACTACAGGTACACACTACCAGGCCAGGTTAATTTTTCAAATTTTTTTAGAGAAGGGGTCTTTATTGCCTAGGCTGCTGCTCAAACCCTGGGCTCAAGCAATCCTCCCACATTGGCCTCCCAAAGGGCTGGGATTACAGTCATGAGCCACCATATCCAGCTTTGAGTTGGATTTTTTTTTTTTTTTTTTTTTTTTTTTTTTTTTTTGAGATGGAGTTTCACTCTCGTTGCCCAGGCTGGAGTGCAGTGGTGTGATCTCGGCTCACTGCAACCTCTGCCTCCCGGGTTCAAGCGATTCTCCTGCCTCAGCCTCCTGAGTAGCTGTGAGTAGCTGGGATGACAGGCACCTGCCACCTCGCCCAACTAATTTTTGTATTTTTAGTAGAGACAGGGTTTCACCCTGTTAGCCAGGTTGGTCTTGAACTCCTGACCTCAGGTGGTCCATCCAGCTTGGCCTCTCAAAGTGTTGGGGTACAGGAATGAGCCACCATGCCATTGTAATTTTTGGTGACTGTAAAGGAAATTATTTTCTGTTTAAGGTGAAGATGAGTCAAATTTTTATCATTTTACAATTAATCAAGGCATCTTTAAAGGATTTACTATAGGTTAGATTCTTTCAACTTTTATCTGCTCTGTATTATTGCTACATTTGCAAAAGGTGATGGACTTTAGATATGGATTTATAAAAAGCTGAGAGAAACATTTAAGTAGCATGATAATAAAATTTGAAAAGGATTAAAGGCCTATCAAAGCAATACCATGACTTCAACCCTGATTTTAAAAGAAAATATTTAAACAGCTGACCAGCAGCATAAGCCATTTTAATTCTTCATTTATATATACAAATTTAGGTCTTGGTGATGTCCATGAAAATGAAAAATGAGTTTGTTTTAGAACAAACCAAAGTGAAATAAAAATATTGTTCCTTTTAGGATATTAGAGAATTTCAGGTACAGTTCCCAAATATGAGCATTTTTGAAGTATTTTAAGCATTTATGTTTAATGAATATCTATTCTATAATGAAATGGTTTCCTATAAATGCATCTGGAAAAATACTCTCTGAAGCTTAAGAAAAATTCTGTTCATCCAAGATAATTCATTATTCAAAATTTGCCTTTAGTAAGAACAGATTGGCTGGGCACAGTGGCACACGCCTGAAATTCCAGCACTTTGGGAGGCCAAGGTGGGCGGAACACGAGGTCAGGAGATTGAGACCATCCTGGCTAACATGGTGAAACCTCGTCTCTACTAAAAATACAAAAAATTAGCCGGGTGTGGTGGCGGGCACCTGTAGTCCCAGCTACTCGGGAGGCTGAGGCAGGAGAATCGCTTGAATGTGGGAGGCAGAGGTTGCAGTGAGGGGAGATCACGCCACTGCACTCCAGCCTGGGTGACAGAGTGAGACTCCATCTCAAAAAAAAAAAAAATAACAGATTGATACACTTGTACTTCGACAAACGCAAGCAAATGAGCAGAGCATTTCAATGCTGACTGATGACTGATGATTCTAAAGAAGTAGGTGTTCAATATAAAAATGGCTTAGACTTCAGGTTCCTCTTCAGCAAAACAAAAAACTAAATCCAATGGTCCTGTGGACCATTTTTTTAAATCTTAGTTTTTTTTTTCTTGTTTAAGAACAAAATCACATTTAGTTAGATGTGTGCTGTTATGTCAAAAAATATGCAGCTTAGACTACATGCTTACGCAATACCCACATACGTACATACATACACACACATACCCATTACTACATTTGCCAGAAAATTTTATTATTTTCCAAGGTCAATACAGCACTGTTATCACCAAAGACAATAATTTTCTACAAGTAATATCCAATCCATGGCAACCAACTATAAACACCAGTATATGATGAGGTCCTCAAAGATTTGCTATTAGGAAATAAGAAAACACACATGTACACATGGGAGTGTTAAGAGGCAAAGCAAATGCGTGAAACAGTGGAGTCCTGGACTTTGCAAGGCCTCTCCTCCGAACATGCAGGCCAAAGATCAGGAGAAGCTCTCGTCCCATTGAGGCAAATGAAGCTACTTCCGCCGGAAATGTTATATAATATAATACCTCTTTCTCACTCTGTCACTTTCACAAAACTCTTCCAAAGTGCTGACGGGTGAGGGAGCACTCTGGCTCTGGAGATCTCTGACTACTGCAGACCACAAGTGCCTTCTAACAGCACAAAATCCTTTTTCTTATACATTTTGCAGCGCAAATCACACTTTAAAAGGTCACCGTTTAGAACACAAAAGCACACTTTGGGATACACCTGACACATGCCCCATCTCACTCTTCTGATACAGATTATGTCCTTTACTTCTTAACAGATACAGAGCCAATCAGAACAGTTTCAAGAAGTAATGACAGATGAGATCCGGCATCAAGACCGTGCTTAATAAGTGGCAGAGGTTTTAATTATCTAATGAAAACTCCATTAGTGTTCCAGATTTCTAGGAAAGAAATTTACCTCTGTTTTCTAATTTAAGGTACAAGAATGACTCAAAGAGCTATCAGAAATTTTGACTGGTTTTTTGCTTTTTCTCCCTTTTCTTCAGTGACCATTATAAAAATAATGTGTGTATACATATGTATATATGTAATTATGTATATGTGTGTGTATATATATGCATGTATATATAATTGTATTCTGGAAATATAATTAGCATGTGTGTGCTCTTATGGTATATTTAACGTACAGATAGAACAGGTAAAATTCTACTTACATCACTTTCATTTATATATTACTTCCTAAGTAAGCTTGTATATACTTTAAGAATATTCATGACCAATCAATAAAATCAATCACTTGGAATACTGTAAACAACATAAAAATATCCAAAAAAATGCAGACTCCAGAGGCAGAATTAGCTAAAGTGGGTATACACATTTTTTAAAATTAAAGTTTACTTAGCAATTTTAAGAAAATCAATCTTCACTAGAGAATGGGATTCTGTGGAAACTAAACTATTTAATGGAAATTTAGTGAAGTACAGACATTAATATTTTCTGAAACTTCAGATATTGAACAAAAGAAAAATAATTTAACTTCTATTATGAGAAATTTAGAATTTGAGAAATTAGAAATAGAAGTAATCTTATTCCTATCACATGTTAAAAGTAGGAAAACAACTTTCTAACTCTTATGATCTACTAAGATCATCACTCTTATTTCCAATGCCAAGGGGTTTATGGAATATACAGGATTATATTTTTCACAGAAATGGATTGTTGAACGAGGAATTAAGAAGAAAGACAGACTGCCATTTCTCAAGAAGCAAAACAAAACAAATATCTTCACATAAAGGGAAGCAGCATTTCAGATTGTTAGGTGATTTCATCATTGTAATAAGTCCTGCTAAGGCTATTACTTCATATTTTGTAGCATGAAAAGGGAAATAAGAAATTCTAGGCCGAGTGCCCACTTGGCTAAATCTACCATCCTGGGCAATATCCCTAGGCAGAGATTTTTTGGCCCTAGGTTTATTTTACTTTCTTTTTCTCACTTTAAAATTTTCCTCTTGCTCTCTATTTATTTATTGCTTTATCCTGTTAAAATTACCCCTTCAAAGTGCTTTAATATCTAGGATTCCTACCATATCCTTTGATAGTCTCTTGTGTCACCAGAAAATTTGGCAGTTTTTGACAGTTTCAATTATATCACTCACTTCATTTCCTCTTTTGTTACAGATGTTATTTCTTAGATTTTTCTCTCCTTGACAGAAGAGGTAGGATAGCTTTTAAATAAAAGCTATTATTATCTCGTGAGTTATATTCATATATTCAGAATTTTTATCTACCCATTTATTTCACTGAGCCTCAATATCCCTCTCTGCAAACACCAAGGATCAATCGTGCATCACTTCTCAATTTTATTAATCTTATAGACAACAAAAATAAAAATTAAGTACAAGAGTCTCAAACCACTTGGTAGTGTGAGAACCTTCCCACTAGTACTACTTCACTAATTTAATAGAACCAAATAGAAACAGGGCCCATTACTTCAAAAATGTATCTGAAAAGCTGTGTTAATTGTTACACATATAAGCAAAACTGAGGTCCAACAATTGGCCATTTGTAGCAATTTACTTACTCTGATTTCAATTACTAAGTTGAAAAATTATAAGTATTTTTATATAAAGTAGAATTAAAATATGAAAAGTACATATTTAAGTGTCTTAAAATATACAGCAAATACAATTCTAAAAATAAGCTCTTTGAAGACAGGAATTGCATTAAAAAAAAAAAAAACTTCATGTCCTCAGACCTTGTCAACTGTGTGACACTATGGCACTAGCATTATACCATTCCATTTGGTTGATATGAGAACTTACGCACCTCAAACTACAAAGGAAAATAAAAGATAAAGCACTGTGCATCCTTTCCCTGCCCCCACCATGACCTTCAGTTCAGAGATCTGATGAAACACAACTTTCCATTCTCCATGTGGACCTACAGGCAACTGAGTAATTGTGGGCTACTTAGGGCTTTAGTCATTTTGGTCATTTAGTCACTTGTGGACCTCAACCTGGGCGAGACAGTATATTTCACCAGATGGCAAATATGATCACATTTTTTGGTACAGCAACTCCAGCAATAATAGTCCTGTCATAGGTCAAGAACGTACTTTATATCACCAAGTTATGACTAATGGGTTCCAAGCACATACGGTGGTACATTTCATTGGATATTCTTAAAAACTATCTAATGGTGGCTTTCAAAATATCGAGCATGCAATTCTTTAAAACAAAAGATTCCATGCTCAATATTGAAAAATGTGATCAATTAAGTTATTTACTACCAATACTATAACTTTCTCCACTTCACTTGGCCCACTTCCACTTCTCCTTCAGATTTCAGCTAAATATTACTCCTCAGAGATGCCTTCTGTGAGTCCTATAGGCAGAGATTGCAATGTCTTTGCAGCATGGTCCCTACCACACCCATGACTATTTAGAATTATATTTTTTGTATGCCTATCCCTTTACTATTCAATGCTTTCCAGAGGCCAGGGGCCCATCTAATAATCTTTGTATCCCCAATATTTAGCATGGTATTTCCTCCATACATAGAGAGGACTATATGACTGTTGAGTGATGGATGGATAGACAGAGGAGTGAATTCGCACATACATAATAGAGTAACATACATGTTCATACACAAATATGCACAGAGTAGGCAATCGACTAGTCAAAATTACACTTGTGCTGTTGAAATATCCCCATATAACCAATATTTGTACTCTTGAACATTTTTTTCTCTAATTGTGGTTATTCACATTAAATATAAGTATACCTAATTTTCTAAAAATTTAGCTGGGTGCAGTGGTACATGCTGGTATTCCTAGCTAGTTGGGTGGCTGAGGCAGGAGGATCCCTTGAGCCCAAGAGTTTGAGGCCAGCCTAGACAACATAATGAGACCCTGTCTTTTTTTTTTTTTTTTTTTTTTGAGATGGAGCCTTGCTCTATCGCGCAGGCTGGAGTGCAGTGCCATGATCTCGACTCACTGCAACCTCCACCTCCCGAGTTACAGCAATTCTCCTGCCTCAGCCTCCTGAATAGCTGGGACCACAGGGATGTGCCACCACGCCCAGCTAATTTTTGTATTTTTAGTAGAGATGGGGTTTCTTCATGTTGGCCAGGCTGGTCTCCAACTCCTGACCAAGTGATCCATCCACCTCGGCCTCCCAAAGTGCTAGGATTACAGGTGTGAGCTACCACACCCGGCCAACCCTGTCTCTTGAAAAAAGAAAAAAAAATGTAACTGGCTTTTTAAAAACAAGGACACTAGACTGTATTTCGAGTAATAAATTAGATACAATTTTTCAAACCTTATTATAATATCAATCATCCTTCATCTTCTCACATGCTCACTATTCCCACAGTGAGCACTTTGATTTGCTATATACATTTGGCACACTAGTTTATACAGTTTATGCAACTTGCTGGGTTTTAATTCCATGGTCTATTTATTACACACACCCCATCCTATAAACTGTTACTTCAAATAGTTTTCTCTTTTAAAATTTTTTTTCTAGTTTCTCTCTTAATATGGAAATGCCATTATTACTGGTCCTCATTAACTTAATATTAGAAATTATTCCAGTTGTCTCCCATAAGGCATCTATAGCCAATACTCTTTCTTCTCCTCCCTCCATGCACTATTTCTCCACACCACTTCAAGGCTTATCTTCCTTAAAAACAGGCCTCATTTTATCATGCCACCTTCTTTCTTTCTTTCTTTTTTTTTTTTTTTTTTTTGAGATGGAGTCTTGCTCTTGTTGCCCAGGCTGGAGTGCAATGGCACGATCTCGGCTCACCACAATCTCCGCCTCTCGGGTTCAAGCGATTCTCCTGCCTCAGCCTCCTGAGTAGCTGGGATTACAGGCACCCGCCACCATGCCTGGCTAATTTTTGTATTTTTAGTAGAGACAGGGTTTCGCCATGTTGGCCAGGCTGGCCTCGAACTCCTGACCTCGTGATCCACCCGCCTCTGCCTCCCAAAGTGCTGGGATTATAGGTGTCAGCCACCATGCCTGGCCCATGCCATTTTCTTAAAACACAAGTGGTATATAAGCCACATATACCACATTCGAAACCATCAATGGCCGTTATTTTCTTTAACTAACCAGGATTTCTAGCAGTATATGGTTGACCCCTGAACAACGGGCGTTTGAACTGCGTGGGTCCAGTATTATGTGGAATTTTTTCAACCAAACTTGCAAAGTACAGTATTTCAGGAATGCAAAACCCATGTATATACAGGGCCGACTTTTCCAATATGTCGGTCTGCAGGGCCTGCTGCTGGACTATAGTATATGCGGATTTGGGTGTATGTGGGCAGTCCTGCAACCAATCCTCTGACTGGCTGGCCCCTGGGGGACTACTTATACTTTTCAGTTAAATGTAATCCATTTAATTCTGGCTTACGGGTTGGTATTTTGAGAGTTTGGTTCATATGGATCTGTCATTGAGAAACTGATCACTGTTTAATGTACTGTTGAAATCAGATTTTGAGTCATCCCAGCAAAAGGCCACATTCAAGTGGTGAATTTCTGAAGGCAAATATCAACTTTTGAAGTTTCTTGGCAGTGGGCCTGCTGATGGCCTCCACAAGGCTGTACATTTCTGTTCAGACTTCTACCTTTTGCAAATATGTTTTATTCTTCACAACACAGCATTTAATTTAATAAGATTTTGTTTCTTTCTTGTTTCACAAGCATAGATATCTCCGGCTAGTTAAAAGGTTCGCTGAGGCAGAGACTATGTTAATGCTTCTACTGTGTAACTCAGGCTTCTTTAGTAGTGGATATTCAATAAGCACGTATTAAGTCTGTGACTATAGGAAAGTAAATGTTCACATAATCTAACTGCTGCACAATGAAACAGAGAGAATAAACTTTAACTTTGCACCAATCTTAAAATATTTGAGGAACATAAATGCCTGTTTGCAAACAGTTTTGGAATGGAGTTATGTGCTGTAAACCACATACTTTATTGTCAAAATCATCAAATAAGAGTAAATTGTTTATGTGATTAAACTTACATTACTTAATAATTTACACTCTTTAACAAGGTGTTATTTTTATTTAGTTTTATGATGAACAGGAAAGACAGTAACTTTTTCGTTTTGCCTAGCAAATAATTTAACAGCTAATAGAAAAAGTGATAATTTTATTCTTATATAATAGCATATCTTAGAGCAAAGGTGTGAATACTATCTCTACAATTTACTTGCTCTTTAAACTTAGATAATTTTTATATCCTCTTTCAGCCTGTAAGTAAGCTTCCTTGTAAAATAGGGAATAATGATACCTACTCCTTGAAGGACTGCTGTAAAGATTAGAGTTGTGGATAACCAACCTAGTTCAAGGCTTGGCAAATAGTAGGAATCAACATATTGTAGCATTTATTACATAACAACTATTTGCTTGGGTTCTCTACCCAGGATCTCAATAACTTGAGAGCATCAGAAAATGAATGCAGTGCAAATGGCCTGAAACATTGAGAGGTATCTTCTTCCCTCCCTTCTTTCTTCCTTCCTTACTCTCTACTTCCCTCCTTTATTTCATACCTTCTCTTTTTCCTTCTTTGTATATTACACAGAAAACTTGGAATAGAATTTTGGACCTTCATTTTTATCTCTTGGGAAAATCCTCATATTACAGATCTTGAGACATGTAAACAAATATCTGAATCTTGCTAAGTTTTAAAGAGGAGTGTCACAATTTGCAGCATGATATCAAACTATTATAATCACTTTTTTGGATGTTCTTAATCCAGATAAACAGTAGGTAAACTGCTGCAATTTGACATTTTTTTCTCAAAGTACACTAAGATAACATACAATGCAGGCCTCATTTCCACTGAGATTAACCCCAATACCTCAGCAAAAACAGTGCCTACCACAATCCCATGAAATAATTTTAGAAGCAATAAATTATGACTGGTTCCATTTACACAAATATTTTGATATCATGAACTAGCTTGCTTATTCAAAGTGACAGACTGAGATGGAGAGCTACAGATAGAAAGGTCAAGAAGTAGACGATGTTTTTGAAGTTAGTGCATGGGGTTTCTGGTGAGATTTCTGGTGAGAAAGGAGTAGGGGGTTAAATCAGCTGCCATATGGGGAGACGATCTATGTCTCTCAGCAGACAGAAAGAAAAGCTTACTTGAGATTTGAAAATTTATTCAAACATTTTCAAAGTTCTTGAAACAGCTAAGAGGAATAACTGTTTTTGGGGAAAAAAATCTCTGGGCACTGAAGTTTCAAAATGCATTATGGGTAATAGAAAGCCCTTTACTACTTCATAACTGTCAGTAGCATGTTGAATCAAAAGAATAGTGGGTTCCACTGCAATGAGCAATTTTTCATGGTCTTGAGTCATATAGTTAGTCTGAAAATGGCAAAAAAAAAACACAACTGAACAGCTTGATAGATTTTTAAGCAGTAAAATTTTTGCCATATTATATTTAATTTTTAAAAAGATTCTCAAAGCTCAAAAATATGAAAGAATGGGACTAGGTAAAATGTTATATTACTCATTTAGATGAGGTGTGGGATAGGGTCGGAGAGGGCTGCTACAGAAGTGACATTTCCAGAAAATTGATTTTCTTAAACTGATTACAAATAGAGTTTATCAGCAGTTTAAGCATTTACCATTTAAAACTAATGTCATCACTAATCATCAGAGAAATGCAAATGAAAATCATGAGATAATGAAAATCACCTCACATCGGTCAGACTGGCAATTATTAAAAAGCACAAAATAATAGACGCTGCGGAGAAAAGGGAACTCCTATTCAATATTGTTGGGAATGTCAATTAGTTCAGCCAAGCTGAAAATGAATTTTAATCCGAAGGATCATACATAAGTCAACATTTTAAGAAATCTGAATCATATTATTTAAACTTTTATATTTTAAAAGAGCTTTTATAAACATTATATGCTTGGATGAAGGCAAAAAAAAATGTTAGTGTCTCTGTATATTTGTGGATAATCCTGGGAACCAGATCTTCTAGTGCTAGAAGGGATTTGAATCTTCATCTGGAAGTCAACCCCTTTCTTTTAACCCAATAACCCAATCTCACTATATTTTAAGAATAACCCAATCCCATTATATTTTAAAAATCCTATTATATTTTAAGCACACAATGACAAAATAGGCAAAGTAATTTAACCAGGGCCATATTCCTAGTAGTAAGTGATAGAACTGAACTGGAAACATCACACGCCAGTGTTTTTACCAGTCAGTTTAACTCCCTCATGTAAATATGCTGCCAATTTGTCCTACCAAAAAATCTAAGCAATCAGTATGGCACCTGGAGAAAATCTCTTCATTTTCCAAACTAGTAATCCCAATACTTTGTGTACTGAAAAATGCATTCAGGATTTTACCTTGATGCATGAAGAACAATCTTCTCTCCTCAGAGTCTCCTGTGGGATTTTAATTACTGGGAACAGGAACATAAACCTCGGTGTACTGATAACCTAAACATGTTATTGATAAAAATTAATGAAGGTATACAGTATTCTAGGCAAGACCGTATTTCTATATCTACATAAAAAGGAGTATGACATAATCTAGTGCTCTGAACTGGAGTTCACAGAGGACAAGTTTACCCCACAGGAGCAGGAACCTCTGGTCTCCTCCTTCATTTCCCACCTTTGCATGAATATTGGTGAATACAAAGAGGTCTCACCAATTGTTCTTAAGCCAGGGGGTGGGTGATATGAGCATCTGCCATGACCAACATTCAAGTTTCAGTGAATCGGTAGGCAACTCACAACTATGTAAATCCTGCTTTAGAGCATTGCACTAAATTAAGGTAAGGTTTTCCCCTTGATTTAACTTAAAAAAGTTACATTTAAATGAGGATCTTTTCATAAATTTTTCTTTACATATTTTAATCTAATAACTTTCTCCTTGATTTCTAAGAAATAGTCTATATACCAACTGAAAACCCTTATTCTTTTTTCTTTCCAAAAGTTTTGGTTAATGATAATACTTGCCTCTGCCTTCAAAGAATCATCCTCCTGAGACTCACAGTTATGCTGCCTTACCTACAGTAAACACTGACTAGGATATAATATTCATATCATTTCTTCTGCTGAAAATGAAGGTGTAAGTATGACCTACATGAAATTGGGAAGGAAGTCCTTACTTCCATTCTGTACCTTCACATGTGAATCAAATGCAATGAAATTGCTTTACATTTAACTTGGAAGGACTTTGTTAAATGTTAATTTAACCTTTCTTTACTGTATAGGAAAACAATAAATTTTTTTTGTAAAAGATTTTTTTTTAGTCATTGTGACAAAATCCTTAGAGGGGAAATAAAATAACAATGAAAAACAATCAATCAGTCAGTTAGGAATAAATTTTAAGTCAGAATCTGCCTGTATTATAAAAGCCTGAAGAGGTAGCCTATTTAAAGATTGGCTTCTTTAGGAGTGAGGCTGTTCCATAAAGACAGCTGGAACCTGAACAGAATCTAGTACTCCAAGGGTCAAGAATTAACAAGGTCAGGTGAATTTCAGAAAATGTTATTTGAAAGCTCATATAGGAATATGATATTAATATTTCAATACTGGAGGTATATCTAAACAAAACATTGATGAGGTTGAGACAAGAAAGGCCAAAACAGAATTATTACAGTGTATTTTTAAATTTATACAGTTAGAAGTACTTTATTTTTAATAATTAGTGTTCTAGGCTAGGCGTGGTGGCACATGCCTGCAATCCCACCTACTTGGGAGGCTGAGGCAGGAGAATCCCTTGAACCAGGGAGTTGGAGGCTGCAGTGAGCCGAGATTGTGCCACTGCACGGCAGCCTGGTGACAGAGTGAGACTCTGTCTCAGTAATAATAACAATAATGCTAATTTGTGTTCTATTGCCATTGCTTTTTTTTTTCCTGGTAAATGCTACAATAGATAACTAGCTAGCTAGCCAGATAGTAACATGAATATTTCTTTGGTTCTAGAAATTGTTCATATTTAAGCCATTGTGCCAACTGGAAGACTCAAATAAAAGACTGCATCATTATTTCAGTGGTATCAAGGCAATTATGGAAAGTAAGGGCATGACACAAAAAATGGCATTCCAAAATCCCCCAAATGCTCATAGAGCATAAACTCTTCTAATTGATGCAAGGAAGTGATCTTTGTGCAATATCAAACAGACAAGCTAGAGAAAGAAAGCTAGAGAAGAGAGGGAGGTGTTGACAATAGAAGAGGAGAGGATAAGAGGCAGGAAAATAGGTAAAGGGTTAGTGAGACAGTGGTTGAGCCAGACAGGAGGTTGGGAGTTACAGGACACTTTCTTTCTCTACTTGGAATGTTGATTTTGAACATTTCAAAATATAAAACCAAAACATCTCATTAGCCAAGAGCAGAATCCCTTGATCTCAGACTTGGTCAGATCCCCACCCTCTATTTTAAGCCCTCTTGGGAATGATTTTTTTTTTTTAAGTTACAAAAGTAATTGCTACAGAGTCAAAGGACAACAAAGCTATAAATTATGCCACTGGGCTAACTACATTCAAAAGAGTTGCTGGAAAGGGCATTGGCAAAATCTTCACTCTAAAGAGAACTTTATTCTGTGTCCAGAAGTGCGCGTAGTAAAAACAGTAACTAAATTTGAAAGCTGCCTGTCAATGCTTATCTGTCCTAAGCACCAATAGCAGAGATGGTTATTTTTGTACCACCAGCACCTCTTCCTCCTCCTAAAGAAAAAGGAATGTTTTGCTTTCAGGGGCCATTTCTCCACCAATCATAGGACAACAGTTGGCTCTCAGGGTGGGCATGTAACCCAAATCTTGCCAATCAGAGGAACACATATTCCTAGTTCCTGCTATGGCAATTGGCTCACATATGGATACTTGGTCCAAACCAGGCCAATCACAATTCTTCCTAGAGCTTTTGCGGAAAACTTTTTGTCTCTTTCAAAGATCATTTAAGTGCTAAATACCTTGACACTTTCATGACTTTCTCTGCTATCTTATGAGGACAGCCTGATAGAGAATGAAGTCAACTAGTAGAATGCAAATCTATACAGGCAGAGAAAAATCAACAGAGAAATCAACAGAGGCAGAGAAAAATACCAAAAGAGATTTGATGGCATCATTTTAGATACTAAATAAAGTCTATGCCTAAAATCTTCAGTATCATAATCTAAACATTTCCTTTTTTACTAGTTACAATCACTTGCTGATATGATTTGGCTGTGTTCCCACCCAAATATCATCCTGAATTTTAGTTCCCATAATCTCCATATGTTGTGAGAGGGAACAGGTGGAAGGTAATTGAATCACTGGGGCTGTTGGGGTGATCAGACCCAACACCAGGCCATGGGGGCTACAAAGTCCGGAGGAGTCAAAGGAATGAGAAAAGACAAGTTAAGAGATAAAGTGGGACCAGGGGGCCAATGCTAGTATGGAAGCTGCGAAGGCCCTGAGCTCTGGAAGCCCATGCTATTTATTGGTGATCAAACAAAGAAACAGATGGTGAGGATGTGGGGGTTGAAAGGAAGCGGTGTATTAAGCGACTGAGCTAAAGCTGTGACGGTTTAACATTTTCTTTGAAACATATGGCTACTTGAGATAATGGCAGTGCTAGAAGCAAGGAGCCAGCAAGTCTAGACACATTCCAAAGGCCACAAGAGGTTTTAGACCCTGGACCCCAGACATGTTCCAAGACTCTTTTACATTATGTCAGATATGCAAGCCCTGCCTCAGCTTCTCTCCCAACACTCAGCTTTTCTCCCAACATGGGGCAGTTACCCTCATGCTGTTCTTGTGATAGTGAGTTCTCACAAGATCTGATGCTTTTATAAGGGGCTTTTTCCCCTTTTGCTAGGCACTTCTTCCTGCCCCCATGTGAAGAAGGATGTGTTTGCTTCCCCTTCCACCATGATTGTAAGTTTCCTGAGTCCTCCCCAGCCCTGCTGAACTGTGAGCCAATTAAACTTCTTTCCTTTATAAATTACCCAGTCTTGGGCAGTTCTTTACAGCCGCGTGAGAATGGACTAATACAGTAAATTGGTACTGGGAGTAGTGGGGTGCTGCTGTAAAGATACCCAAATATGTGGAACCAATTTCGGAACTGGGTAACAGGCAGAAACTGGAACCATTTGGAGGGATCAGAAGAAGACAGGAAAATATGGGAAAGTTTGAAACTTCCTCGAGACTTGGAGGGCTCAGAAGACAGGAAGATTTGGGAAAGTGTGGAAATTCTTAAAGACTTGTTGAACGGCTTTGACCAAAATGTTGATAGTGATATGCACAATGAGGTCGAGGCAGAGGTGGTCTCAGATGGAGATAAGGAACTTGTTGGGAACTGGATTAAAGGTCACTCTTGCTATACTTTAGGAAAGAGACTGGCGGTTTTTTGCTCCTGCCCTAGAGATGTGTGGAACTTTGAACTTGAGAGAGATTATGTAGAGTATCTGGTGGAAAACATTTCTAAGCAGCAAAGCATTCAAGAGGTGACAGAGCATAAGAGTTTGGAAAATTTGCAGCCTGACAATGCAGTAGAAAAGAAAAACCTACTTTCTGAAGAGAAATTCAAGCCAGCTACAGCAATTTGCATAAGTAACAAGGAGCCAAATGCTAATCACCAAGACAATGGGAAAAATGTCTCCAGGGAATGTCACAGACCTTCGCAGCAGCCCTCCCATCACAGGCATGGAGGCCTAGGAGGGAAAAATGGTTTTATGGGTCAGGCCCAGGGTCTCCATGCTGTGTGCAGCCTAGGGACTTAGTGCCCTGAATCCCAGCAGCTCCAGCCATGGCTAAAAGGGGTAAAGGTACAGCTCAGGCTGTTGCTTTAGAGAGTGTAAGCCCCAAGCCTTGGTAGCTTCTATGTAGTGTTGGTCCTGTGGGTGCACAGAAAACAAGAATTGAGGTTTGGGAATCTCCACTTAGACTTTAGAGGATCTATGGAAACACTGGTATCTCCAGGCAGAAGTCTCCTGCAGGGGTGGAGCCCTCATGGAGAACCTTTGCTAGGGCAATGCAGAAGGGAAATGTGGAGTTGAATCCCCTACAGAAAGTCCCCACTGGGGCACTGCCTAGTGGAGCTGTGAGAAGAGGGCCACTGTCCTCCAGACCCCAGAATTGTAGGTCCATCAACAGCTTGCACTGTGCACCTGGAAAAGCCACAGAAACTCAATGCTAGCCTTTGAGAGCAGCTGAGAGTGGGGCTGTACCCTGCAAAGCCACAGGGGCAGAGCTGCCCAAGGCCATGCGAGTTCACGTCTTGCATCAGCATGATCGGAAAGTGAGACATGGACTCAAAGGGGTTCATTTTGGAACTTTACGATTTGACTGCCCCACGGGATTTTGGACTTACATGTTATATTACATGTTACATGCTATAGCCCCTATGTTTAAGCCAATTTCTCCCATTTGGAATGGGTGTATTTAATCAATGCCTGTACCCCCATTGTATCTAGGAAGTAACTAACTTGCTTTTGATTTTACAGGCTCATAGGCAGAAGGGACTTGCCTTGTCTCAAATGAGACTTTGGACTTGGACTTTTGGGTTAATACTTGAAAGAGTTAAGATTTTGGGGGACTGTTGGAAAGTGATGACTGTGTTTTGAAATGTGAGGACATGAGATTTGGGAGGGGGGCTGGGGAGGAATGATATAATTTGGCTGTGTCCTCACCCAAATCACATCTTGAATTGTAGTTCCCATAATCCCCACACGTCATGGGAGTGACCGGATGGGAGGTAATTGGATCATGGGGGTGGTTGCCCTCATGCTGTTCTCATGATAGTGAGTGGGTTATCACAAGATCTGATGGTTTTATAAGGGGCTTCTCCTTCTTTTGCTCAGCACTTCTCCTTCCTGCTGACATGTGAAGAAGGATGTGTTTGCTTCCCCTTCCACCATGATTGTAAGTTTCCTGAAGCCTCTCCAGCCCTGTGGAACTGAGTAAATTAAACCTTTTTCCTTTACAAATTACCCAGTCTCAGGCAGTTTTTTTTTTTTTTTTTAATTTTTGACAGGATCTAACTCTGTCACCCAGGCTGGAGTGCAGTGGCACAATCTTGGCTCACTGCAACCTCCACCTCCCAGGTTCAAGCAATTCTCCCACTTCAGCCTCCCAAGTAACTGAGATTACAAGCACGTGCCACCATGCCCAGCTCATTTTCTTTTTTTGGTAGAGACAGGGTTTTACCAAACTGGCCAAGCTGGTCTCAATCTCCTGACCTCTGGTGAGCCACCTATCTTGGTCTCCCAAAGTGCTAGGATTACAGGCATGAGCCACCACACCTGGCCTCAGGCAGTTCACTATAGCACCATGAGAATGGACTAATACACTAGCTAACTATCTGTGGTCATTTGATAAAAGAGTCTTAAATTAACACTTCCTTGTATGAATCCCTATATGTTTCAATGTAAGCCTTTACCTATTCAGGAAACTTATTTTATTATGGCATATCTCTAGCAGAATGGTATGATTATTTCTAGATCTGATGCAATATTGGTGTCTCCTCTTCTCAGGTCCCATGTAAAATTTCCCTGTTCAACACGAAGAAAAAAGAGAAAGGCCATCTCTTCTATAACAGAATGGACATTTAACACTCTAAGTTATTCTTTGGTTTGTCTTCAGTATAAATGTTTATAATGTCAATAATATTGAAATTGGTCATTTTGTTTCTCCCACAGCTTGTGCTCTGGGGCAAAAGATAATATATCTTTCAAATAAAAAGCACTGGGACGATTTAAAGGTTTTCTTTGCACACAAGTGCACAGGCAACCCTATTCCCATTCCTACCCAGACCGATAACAAAGAAAAAAGTAGTGGTAATAGAGCAACATGCTTTCTATTAATCCATCAAGCAGAAAAAAAAAAATTAGCCAAGCTCTAAGTCTGAGAAAATATATACCTCTAAAGTTTTGTGTTTGAGAAATAACAAAATATCTCCAACTAAAACATAACAAAATCCCTCCAAGGAGGGATTGCCTTCAATCCCTCCTTCAACATACTCTGCATGCTTCTATCAGCATTCTCTTCCTAAAATATAGACCAGTACATGACCCTGTTCTGCAACAAAACCATTTCTTCTGATAGCCTAAAAAGGGAAGTTCAAATCTCTCAGCTTAGTAGTCAAGGTTCTTCACAATTTGATCCTCTCTACCATTACACACCCACCACTTACCACACCTCCAAGGCATCTCAGGCTCCAGAGAAACACATTGTTCTCAAATTATTTTCTCTATCTCCAGTCTAACACTATTTGTAGTTCTCATTTATCTGTAACCCACCTGTTATTTTATTTTCAGTAACTGTTCGTGAGTGTCCATTAGGTACTAGTCAGCTACTGATGTCTTGCCTATTCTTCAAGGCCCAATATACATTACATTCCCATATATCTCCTCATTATGACTAATCTTTCTATGCTTCAATACTTAGATTACTTCTTATTTAAAGCCACAGCACTGTAGCAGACACTATGTTTGCCTACACAACTACAACACACCCTCCTCTTCTTCCTTAAAGCTTTGGTGATTTGTTTAGGTCACTGGTATGGTTCGAATGTTTGTGTCCTTGCAAAACTCATATGTGAAATCCTAACCCCTAAGGTGATGGTATTTGAAGGTAGGGTATTTGGGAGATGATTAGGTCATGAACGGGATCAGCAGTCTTATAGAAGAGGCCCACAAGAGATCCCTCACCCATTTAACAATGGGAAGACACAGAGAGAAGACAGTCATCTTTGAACCAGGAAGCTGGTCCTCCATCGCCAGATACACAATCTGCTGGTGCCTTGATCTTGGCCTTCCCAGCATCCAGAACTGTGAGAAATAAAATTCTGTGCTTTATAAGCCACCCAGTTTATGGTTTGTTACAGCAGTCCAAACAGGATGAGACAGTAACCACCATGCATGTGCTCCAGCACAGATGGGCTCCTAAAGCAAGTCTTGGGGATATGTAACGAACACTTTAAGCTAATCTGCTTCCCCTTCCCCTTGCCAGCGGCTGAGGTAGGCATACCACAGAAAGGAACCATAGCATCTTCCACAACACCGGGCAACTGTTCTTAGCTGACTTTATAGTAGGGTTCCCACAACATATCTTAAAGAGGTACTGAATTTTTTGTTTGTTTGTTTATCCTGTCTTTTTCCTGCCATCATGAACAAGACTGAAATTGTGAATTACAGTCCAAAACCCAGTTACATATTCTCAGGAGTGGTAGTAACTGTGGTGAGAACCAAAACCAGCTTGGACAATAAGGACCAAAACCACCTACCCTCCCCAGTTCACTGTTTACAGTAACTTATCTATTTTATTGTCTTCAGTAGACTCCAGGAGATTCTTGCCAAGGACAATAACTTTACTGTTCATTATAGGAACTTCCCAAAAGAACTGTTAACTCCTTCAACTGAAGCATCAATAGTTTACTACCTAATACTACTGAACTCCTGTCCTCAAAATCCTTGCCTTGCTATTTCTGCTTCTTCTAAACTATTATATCCTGATTCTTGCCCAGTCCTAATCAAGTCCCCACACTGAAAAATTCATCTTAGACCAAACTCCAAATTAACAAAATCTAGTTTAGCTTTTCTTCCTCCAATTCACTATTAAATCTGTCAATGTAAAATTTTCCATCACCACAGAAAGCAAATAAACTCAGCTCTGTTTTCTCAACATAGTGTCATGGTGTCTTAGAAGCTAGCATTTAGTTAGTTAAATTGTTCTCAGTTATATTATTTGGCATAGGGCAAACATTGATTGGCTTTAGATATTTTTAAGTTCAGTGTGCACTTCTAAAGTAGTCATTCAAAATAGAAATTGATGTACAGTCTAAATTAGTAGAAAAGAAAAATGGAATAAGAAAACAAGCTAAATGAATGCAAGACAGGAAACTGAAGCAACAGAAAATGAGTACAAAAGAAGTAATAGAATAGAATCCAAAATATCCATACAAACAATCCACGTACTAGATTAAATTCCACAGTGAAAATATGAAGATTTCTTTGGAATTTTTTTAATGCTACTCATGTTCCTTTCTAGAGAGACAACTATAACATACACAGACACACATACTAACATGACTGGACACATACAAACAAGGACATAAGAAAGTTGAAAGTAAAAGAATGGAAAGAATGCCGGACAAAAATAACCAAAATTACTTGATTTGCTACATTAACATTAGGCGTAATATACTTCTTGAGGCTAAAACAAAAGATTAGTAACAATAAAGAATATTACATTTCTGAAATTGTATGCATCAACTAACATAATTTTAAATGATATAAAGCTTTCAACAGACCAACAAGGTGAAATTTGCAAATATATGTAACCTCTATTAAAATAATTTAATGCAACTGTCTCAGAAATTGATGTATCACAAAGAAAATATCAGAAAAGATACAGATGCTGTGCACAACTGCAAAAATTGATGTAATAGGAACATAAATACACTACTGCAAAAACATGCATTCTTTGAACAAAGAATATTTGAAAAAACTAAATATCTGAAGCAAATGAAGCAATTATTAAATTTCAAACAACTTAATTCTTTATTCAAAACACAACTTAGAAATCTGTAACTGCATTTTAAAAACTCATATATATATGAAAATTTAAAAATTGCTTCTATATAATCTATGCTTTAAAAGAAGAGAACAATAGATATTGTAAAAATCTTGAACTGGACCGAAAATAAAATACCACATTATCAAAATTGGCAGGGCGCCTCTACACAATATCTATAAAGAAATTATTAAGTTTATATGAACAATTTAAAAATAAAACAATTAAAATAACATTCAACTTCAGAAGTTAGAAAGTACTTCATAACAGAAGAGAACAAAGGACATAATGAATGTAAGAAAATAAATTAAAAATATATATATATACAGAGAGAGAAGCTAGCCATGTGGAGAAAGAGTTGTGCTTTGTGGAAAATTATTCATAATTTCTGCTTTGAATAATTCCCTCCTGGCTATCTAATTCCAATTCTGTCGGAGCTCAGCACCTTTTATTGCCTTTGAACTATTTTACAACTCAGTAAGGTATAAATGATTTATATCAAATAAAAATAATTATTGTCTATAGACATATAAATAAACTATGTCCAGTGGAAGTTTAATGGAGTTCTCTCCCTTACTGTGGAAGAGGCCAATTTTGCCTCCATTTGCACATTTATTTCTATATTCCCAATCTATAATTGTGTCTGTTCTTTGAATTGTTATTAAACTGGTTATAACATCTGATTGACCACTTTATTAGTAAGTTAAATAAAACATTTAATATGTGTTTACTTAATATCTACAGAGAAGTCAAATTTTACCTTTTGAAAACATTATTCTTTAACAGTCATAACAGAGCCAAAATTTGTTTCTTTGAAAGAACAATGAATAAACCAAATCATAGGCAAGACTAAGTGAGGAAACAGAAAAGCAAAGCAAAATGAAGAGGAGGGAGCACAAAACAATATTAGTAATAAAACAAAAGACATAAAGATGCAGCAGAAATTAAAATCTAATAAGGACACATTGTGAAAATACTAATGACAATAAAACTGAAAACTTCAAAAAAATGCCTAGAAAACATAAAATGAATAACTGTCTTTAAAAGTGGACTCATAAATGGATGCTAAAAAAATTGGGTGATAGACTGCCACAGAACAAGATTTGCATGTTTTTGAAGTATATCCCCATAAATCACATTAATTACAATGTGGAAAAACAAAGCACATCCACAACAGAGAAATCTGGTGGATAGTCATCAAACTCATGTCACTGATAATGCAAGAAAGTGACATTATAAGCAATCAGAAATACTTACAAAGAGCATTCTGGCCAATATATTTAAGCAGGACCTAATTATGAAGAAATATGCAGATAAATTAATATTGAGAGATCTAATTATGAAGAAATATTCAGATAAATTAATATTGAGAGACAGTCTGTAGAATGGTCAGGAATTGTTCAAAATTCCTGACCAATGTCATGAAAGGTAAGAAAAGACAAGAAGACTCTTCCAGACTAAAGAAGACGAAAGAGTTACAATAACCAAATGCAATTATAATGTTTTATTAGATCAAAAAGATGAAAAAATGATTAAAAAACATTTGGGGATGATGGGAAACACTGGGTAAGAGTTTCATATTAATGTTAAATTTATTTCACTTGATACTGCTACTAATGTTCGATGGGAAATATCCTTGTTCTTAAACAACACACAGTGGGTACAAAGTGTCATAATGTTGGCAGCTTACTTTTAAATCCAAAAGAAAAGAATAATAAAGATATTTTCCCTAAGGGGAAAATGCCTCTTAGCAAAATAAAAACGAAGGAAAGCACTTCAAATGAAAAAGTAAATTGAAGGAAAACAAAACATAAACCTTCATCAACCATCATACTCAATATTGACATGTTAAGAGCAAATCCTTTAGTCCCAACGGCTGCAGACAGAACAATTTCAGCAAGAAAGTTAATAATGATAGATTTTGCTTATAACACAAATAATAAAATAAATATTATTAATTTTTACTAATATAAATGACAGAAGGAAGAAATGAAAAAAGGAAGGACAGACAAACCTTCTTTGCTGAAGAATTCCAAATAATATATGCATATACCCTTTAGGAGGTGGAGTGTAATCAGTATCTCCTTGAGTGTGGGCTAGAATTAGCTACATACATCCAAATAATAGAATATGAAAGAAAAATATATTACCGTAGCAGAGCAGAAGCCCAGCAGATACCACCATACGTAAGTGATCAAAGCTAACATCATCACTAATAAGTAAGGCTGGTTGTATGTACCTCCTGATATGATAAGGGCATATCACCTATTTGGAATTCTTCCCCAAAACTTATAATCTCAGTGTAAGCATGACAAAACATGTGAACAATCTAAACTGGGGGGACATTCTACAAAATACCTGACCGTACTCTTCAAAACTGTCTAGTCATGAGACACAAGGAAAGAGAAACAGTCAGAGATTCTAGGTGACTAACGAGACATTACAACTAAATGCAATGAGTTTAATCTGAAAAAGATCCTGAAACAGAAAAGGTGACAAACTGGAAAAACTGCTGACATCCAAATAAGACCTGTAGTTTAGTTAATAATACTGTATGAATATTGATTTCTTAGTTATGCAAATATGCCAAAGTATGTAGGATGCTAACATTGGAGGAACCTGGGTTAAAAGTATACAAAACTCTCTGTACTATCTTTACAACATTTTTTATACCTATTTTTATACTAAAAAGCAAAACATCCACAATGCTCCAAAATGGGAATAAAATAAGGTGAGATTTGCTTATCACAAAGCTTCTAGAATGCTACAGCAGTTAAGACAGTGTCATTCATTTAAGAAAAACAAAATTGACCAAAGTAACAGAAGAAACAGAGCAGACTACATATAGAAACCCGATCTGCAAGTCAGCTGACTTTGCATTTCACTGGGGAAAACAATGACTATTCAATAAATGATGCTGGCATACTATTGGATACCCTCCTGAAAAACCTCATACCACCAACATAAATAAATTCCAGATAAATAAAGAAAAATTAAAGGCAAAATTTAAATAGCCAAACAGATCAATACAAAAGGAGCAAAAGACATAAGCAGGCATGATAAAAAGGTAATATGAATGGCTGATAATAAATATAAAAATTTCTCAACCTTATTAGTAATCAGAAAAACAAAATAAAACCAATGATAAGGTACAATTTCACACTTACCCATATTACAATTTTTTAAAAGACAGATCAGAAGTTGGTGAGAATGCTGTGCAACAAAAATTTTTGTATATTGTTGGGAAATGTATAAACTGATAATTTTGAAAAAACAATTTAACTCTACCTAGTAAAGCTGAAAATATAAATGTCTTAAAACACTGAAACCATTGTCAGAAAGTCTCAAAGTTTTATTGCTCTTTTGCACAAGGAGAACTGGAAACAAGTCAAACGTTCCTCAAAGCAGAAGACACAAAAAAGGTTGATTATTTCTATGATGAAATATTATACGTCAAAGACAACAAATGATCTAATAAGCTATCTGCCTCAATATGAACTAATTTTTAAAGCATAATTTTTTTAGTTTTGCTTGTTCTGAAACATATGTTAAATCATAAAAGAAAGCACATGGTATTACTCCATTGATACATATTTCAAAACAGCCAAGGAATTAACTATTTTTGTAAGATCACACATAGAGAAATATGTACTTCTTATGAAATTATAGAGAAAATCAGGAGAATGAGTAACAAAATTTAGGACAATGATTATATTTGCAGTGACAAGAAGGTGTAATCAGGAAGGAATATGGGTAGCTGGTGTCACATGGCTCTCTTGGTGTTAACCTGTGGGAACTGGAACTCTAGGAGAAAGCACAAGAAAGTGCTAATAATACTCCAGTGACTGCTACTTTTGTAATGAAGTCCTTTGTCTCTGACCCAGAAGTCTCCTGTCTTCATTAGCATCCACAAAAGGGATAGGATTACTTACTACTTTGCAAGTAGGGCAAAATCTTACACCCCTTGCAATTTTTGACAAGATTATGTTTATATATAAAAAAAGACAAGAGGTGCAGTACAGCATGATGAAAAACTGCCTAAATAGGTGTTAGGAAAAATGGGTTTAGCATTTGTTTAGGTACCAAATCTGAACGAGATCTAGGGCATCTGCTTTACTCCTCTGGTAGTCTTCTAAAGATAATCAGGGTAGCTTCTAGTTCTCAAAGTCTAAAATTATAGATGTAAGGAAAAACAACAACATGAAATGCACAGTCACAGAAAGAACAAATGTGAAGAATATGTAACTATGTAAGTGCTAAAGATAAAAACTGTGATGACAGCAAGTACAAAGTTTATTTCATTTGTACTGAAATATTTATCTGTAATATACCATGAGATGAAAATTCTCTTTTAACTTGTATATCAAAGAGAAAATAAAAAATCCAGTGAAGTTCAAGTAAAATATTTTCATGTTATACAAATGTCATTGAAGTGAAAAATCTTCAGTAAGACCACCCAACCTTGACAAGTGTATTCATATGGGATTTACAGAGTAATATTTGTGTGACATACAGTAGGTGGTCTTTTGCGTGGGTGAAATACTCCAGCTGACTTTGGTTCATGAATGCTTCTAGGATAATTATGACGAATTCCTACCTGGCAAGGCATAACGTTAGCCTAAATATCTAATGCTGCTTTCTGAACTATATTTCTTCTTTGTGATGTAATATTCAAACTTCTTAGTCCTGTGCATGGGTATGTATCCAGGTAATATGTACCTGTGGATAGAACTTTTTCTTTCAGTAGCTTATCATTTATTTTATTGATTTGGCTATGAGGAAGGTCAAATATAAGATTTTTAGCAGTAACCGCAACTTTGGTTTTCTAGCACAACTACAGTCCTTTATACAGCTTTGTATTCTCTAATCCTTATTTTAAATGGTTTTATTCCATGTATGCTTTTTTACCATAAATTATATTAAATAATTTTAGAAGTAGGTAGAAAACAATGACTTTGTATGCACAATGTGTCTTCCGATTTTAAATGAAGACTTCAAATAAAACATAGCTTCAATAAGGCTGGAAATTTCTTAGATCATCAGAAAAATAAAACAAAAGATGTCATTTAAAATCAGATCATCAAAATTAAGCAATTTGAAAGACTTTTAACAGTTGTTACATTGTTGGGATTTCAAGTATGATCACTTACTTGCATATGTCATCTTCTGGGTCTTCAAGCCCAAATCTTTCATCAAACGTAAGTTGTATCCATACATTTTCCTCTACTGCTACTAATCTCCATACCAAGACCGTATTTCTTGGATAAGTATGAGGAAACCTTGGGCTGTGAATACTTCCATTAGTAGACACAGTAATAATTCTCTCATGCTGAGGATCTTGTACTCCTAAAGCAAAAAACATAGACATAGACATACATTTAGATTTCAAAAATTATAGGTATCAAAGCAAGTGTTTATTATTCACACTTTACCTCAGACAAGTGCTGAGTGTGTTTTATATGATATATGCCAAATACCACTCTTTCCAGAACTGATCCAGAAAAAAGATTATTTTATCATTATTGAATAAAAACCTGTTTCATATTTATACTTGAAGGAACATAGCAAATTACTCTTTTAAGGAATTTAATTACTGAAACGTCAACTACAAACTCTTTTGGAGTCCTAAAATCACAATAAAGCTGAGTTAACATTCAAATTTCTGAGAAGTTATCAAATATGAGACATTTTAGAATAAAAATACACTAGATATAATTCTATTTTAAAAAATACAAATAATGATTTTAATTCTCTAACTTAAAGCTGCAGAGCTACAGTCAACTAATTATTCAAAGATTTGCATTAATTTTATATATGGCAAAATAAGAAGGGTATTAAGATATTTGAAGAAAGTGAAATGTGAGGATAAAAGAGGCAGAAGTGGATAGGTAGAAAAGACTGTTTTCAGCTTTTCTCACTGATCTTTGAAATGTCAATTAGCATACCATACGACACACTATTTACAGCTTCTTACCTCTTTTTATTACCATTGCTTTAGGAATTGAGCTGGCAAAATGTTCTTAATAACAGCTCATTATTTGGACCCATAACTTCTGGGAAAAACAAAAAAGGTATGCAATACAAGTTCAGAGCTTCACGTGAACTGGAATTACTAAATAACCTAAATCTTAAATGACTCTGAAAAGTAAAGCAAGATCAAAATAATGGTCTCAATTTCTTGTTATAAGGGATCTATTAGCAGTACATGAAAATATTAAAATATAAAAAATGTTGCAGCACTTCTCAATGCATGAATACACAAATATGAATTCTAAATCTCCAAGGGCAGAGTATAGTACAAAATGGCTTCCAAGTTTATTAGGCAAGGTACCTTTTCACATTTATGAAATGCTAAAATATACTGTTAATAATATCTCTCCTCCTTTTTATTAAAATGTTGGGGAGAGAATTGAGAGAAAGGGCAAGTTGGCACTGCTGAGAAAGGAAGTATTCCTATACCCAACCAGTTGAGAGTTAATAATGAGACGAAACCCACAATTGATAAGTTATAAAATAAGCAGTCATTGAACCACTCCAAAAAATGTAAGAACTAGGCTAGTTATAGGCTCCAGGCCATAAAAATCCATGTAAGGACCATCGCGGTGGCTCACGCCTGTAATCCCAGCACTTTGGGAGGCCGAGGCGGGTGGATCACGAGGTCAGGAGATCGAGACCACGGTGAAATCCCGTCTCTACTAAAAATACAAAAAATTAGCGGGGTGCAGGGGCGGGCGCCTGTAGTCCCTGCTACTCCGGAGGCTGAGGCAGGAGAATGGTGTGAACCCAGAAGGCGGAGCTTGCAGTGAGGGGAGATCCCGCCACTGCACTCCAGCCTGGGCGACAGAATGAGACTCCATCTCAAAAAAAAAAAAAAAAAAAAAAAAAAATCCGTGTAAGGATGCTAACTTCCAATGAGAAAAACAACAACAACAGCAACAACAACAAAAACTTTTAAATATCCCTTATTGAATTTCTAATACTATTTTATTTTAAAAAAAGTAAAAGCCTTAGACTGGACATTGAACACATGAAGTGATATGCATGGTAGGATATCTGACAATTATATAGTGCAACTTTTATATACTCATAATATCACAACAGTCTTTAGCAATGCCTCATTGGTATTCATAATTTGGAGATATGCTGCACAACACTGAACACTGTATTTGCAGTAACATCATGGAGAGATTACTCTCCAAAATAAGGTAAGTATCATTGTATTCACTGCCTTTTGGATATGTGCCATCAAGCTGTGTAACAGAGTTTACTAAGTCCTATGAAATGACGACATTTCAGATTAAACCCTACATGTTTCTTCTTTCTTCCTTTTGTCTTGGTATTATAGCTTTCTGCCATTTCCTCTTCTTCATTTATTTTACTTCCAGAAACCTAAGTCCCTTTCCACCAACCTATTCTCTGTCTCTCTACTCAATATCTTAAAGTCTGTATCTTCTTTTATCTTCGCACTAGTGATCTCACTTCCTTTATGATAGGTAGAATTCTAAAATGATCTCCAATTGTCCCTCATCCTTTCATAATCCTCTCCTTGAGTGTGTGAAATCTAATGGGATATTACTCCCATGATTAGGTTAGTTGACTTTGAGTTAATCATATTTGGGTGGGTCTAACTTTATCAAGTGAGCCCACAAGATAAACTGGGTCCTTCCTAAACCCAGAGAAATTTCAAAGTGTGAGAGATACTTCAACAGGAGGGTGATTCTTTATTTCTGGCTTTGAAAATGCAGGAAGCCATGTGCCAATGGATGTGGGAAGCCTCTAGAAGCTGAGAACAGTCTAAGGATGACAGCCAGCAAGGAAATGAACAACTCAGTTCTGAAAGATTGAGGACCCTGGTCAGCTTGGAAGCAGACTGTTCTCTACAGCCTCCAGAAAGGAGTCTAGTCTGGTGGACACCTTCATCTGAATCTTCTAAGACCCTGAACAAGAATTCAGTCACGTGGTGCCTGGAATCCTAACTGACAGAACTGAAGTTGATAAAGGATATTTTAAACTGCTAAATTTGTAGAAATTTCTTACATAATATTAGAAAACTAATACACCTTCTATCGCACACAAAGCTGTTTGAATTATGGGTATTTCTTTTTGCTCACAATTGTCAGCACTAATTGCAGTAACTGCAGCTACTTTTCATTTAGTATTTATGTTAATCAAAATATGTTAACATTATTTCACATTAATAAAATACAATTTAAGAATGTTGCTCTAGGAAACTTCCTGAAAGACACAATGTGAAGGGTTGTATATTAGTTAGACTATGACTAAGGTTAAAGGACAACCTGTTTAATCCTAAACTACCCCAAATAATTGTAACGTTTTTATTTATGAGATATAATTAAATAACTGAATGCTACCAATCTTCTCAGTGCTAAAATTTTTCCTCAGCAGTAAGCACCCTATACAGAACATGTTTCCTCTTAATAGATGCTAATATTTGATACTGCTATTGGCTGTAATAATATATATAAAATAATTAACGCCTTTTCTACGCATATTATTTAGCACCAGTGTATCTCCTAAGAATACAGAAGGAACTATAAAGTTAGATGAATTCTCCACATAGACAAATTTTATTAAGAAAATAATGCTCGGCCCAGGCACTGTGGCTCCTGTCTGTAATCCCAGCATTTTGGGAGATCAAGGCAGGTGGATCCCTTAAGCTCAAGAGTTTGAGACCAGCTTGGGCAACATGGTGAAACCTTGTCTCTAGAAAAAATAACAAAAATTAGCTGGACATGGTGGCATGTGCCTTCAGTCCCAGCTACTTGGGAGGCTGAAGTGGAAGGATCGCTTAAGCCCAGGAGGTTGAGGCTGCAGTGAGCTGTGATGGCACCACTGCACTCCAGCCTTGGTGACAGAGCAAGACCTTGCCTCAAAAATAAAAAAGCAAAACATTAAAAAGAAAGTAATAATCATAAACTCTTGAAAAGTAAATTCATTAACTATTTTCAAATATTTCTTTCAAAAATGAGTTTCTCCCTATTGTCCAAAGTTTCTTCCGATAATCTACATATTTCAGAGGTACTTATAGTAATTTATAAAAATAATCCTTCTCATTTTGGCAACTAGTATTCTCAATGAATTATTTTTTCCCATCAGATTTATTAAAACCTAGCATCTACCCTATTTTGCTTCAAAACAAATGCCTTTTATCCAAGGCACTCATTACAAATATAGCAGTGTGTGGCATATAATTGAGAAAACTACATAGCTATTAAAAGATCTGAATTCTATTTTTATATCTTCAGTCATAAAGCGCATGGCTAAAATATATATACTTAAGTTTGTGTTTACATTTTTTCCTTTATAATTCACTATTAAATTGGACTATATTTAAACATAATTTAAAGACTGAAAATCTGGGCCTTATTTGTGGTTAAAAAAAAATTGTAAATTTTCTTTTAAGTTAAATTACTGCTCCCAAAAAATTCACCTTGAAATGCAAGGAGGTTTGCCACCAAACACTTATGATTTGCAGATGACTGTCAAAGTTTTATGTAAATCTCAAGCAACTAGGCCTATAATCAGAAGAAGAAAGAAAAAGAAGCAACAAACATTAAGTTTACCAAATTAAGACACTGTGCTTATATTCTGTTGTTTTAACAGTCATTTTTTTGAACATATAACTTTACTAGTATTTTAGGGATGAGAAAAGTACCCACTTGAGAATATTTTATTGAACATTTGCTTTTCCTATATCCAACAGACAGTATACTCAAATTACCAAACAAAAAAAAAGTTTATAGTCAAATCACTAAAATATTTATCACATGATCCTTGCACACTTAACAAGAATCAATCTTGTATATCTTAGATAACGAGCTTGACATGAAAAATGAAAATATGTATAAATACTACATTTTAAAAATTATAGACAATTTCAGATTACCATACCCAACTCCTCTTAAGGTAGAGGTACTGGAAACTAAAATGAATAAAAAATTTAAAAAAGGAAAAGAAGAGAGACTAATAATGTAAATACTGTAAAACTGTTGACTATATGTGTATATATACAATTCAGTTATATAGAATCACTATATATCTGTAAGTAGTCAGTTTAGCACTTAAAATCAAAGCAATTCTATAATGTTTACCATGCATTACATACTCTTGGTTCCTTTAAAAAAATATTTATTATGGGTGAAAGAAGGTGGTAGTAAGAGAATCATAAAATGCAATTCAAATTATAATCCTTCAAAATGCTACATTATTAATAAAGATAACACTAACGAGGAAGTTTCTGGATAATATGCAACTCCTAAAAATCATCCATGTCTTTATGCTAATGTTTTAAGTTGATTTTAGCAGAAAAGAAATGGTAGATTAAAATTAGGTAGAAAGAAGTAGGTCTTGAATCTTGGTTTAGTTTGGCAGTTGTGGATTCTGCTCCTCTGTTTCATGTAGGCACGACTGTAGCAACATGTCACCAGTAAACAGATCGGCCTCACGGATGTCCTGTGACATTTTGGATGTATTTGCTTGCAAATATGTGTTATTTTCAAACTATGTAAAAATGCATTTCTCTTAGAGTGAGATGCATGTATTCCCCATTCTCACTCTATAAATTGATAATACACACATTCACCCATTTAATTTGTGCTTTGCTATGCTCACTGTTTTTTTCACCTGTGATAATTTTTCTACATCCTAATGTTGCTAGTTTGTGGATATAGCTATTTCTGCATCTGCTTTCAATCTCCTTAATTCTCAACTAACAAAATTCACTTTTAACAACTGTTAGTTAAAATCATTGACATATATACACATATAGTTTCACTGGCTCCATGAGCTGGTGTGTTTTTGCCTAGGAAATGCAGAGTAATTTCATCCTAATCTTATTTGATTCTGTAGAGAGAAGGTATACTTGAGGTCCACAGAGCAAACAAATCTCTCTCCATCAATTGCAAACTATATAGAATTACTCCATTTACATGCTTAATATTTTAAATTCTATTAATATAAAAGTATAATGATGGGCTAGAGGGAAAAGAGACTCTAGTTTCTGCTTTATCATCATTTCCCATATCTTTAAGACAAATAGCACAATAAAACAACAAAGCTAGTGTTGGTTACCTCCAACTATTCCAATTACACAAATAAATATTCACTAAGGAAAAGTAAAAAAAGTGATTGCTATATTCAGTAAACCACGGAACTACTACAATTATTTAGAATATGTCCAGTTGTGGCTCCTGAGCTTATCCCAGAAGACAGTTAATCACTTTATTCCTGAAGTTAAGAAATAACCAAAAATTATATAATGAGAACCTATTATGTTTCAAGTACTTCTACAGGTGCTTAAAAATAAAGTCCTGTCCTCTTCATGCGATAACCTCTAGGGTTGTAATTTGGTTTCATTCCTGGACCAGCTATACTAGTAAACGAGCCAGTTTCAGATGTTACCTCTTTTGGAAGGCAATAGCTGATTCCTGGTGTACACTCCCTTTAGGAGTGAATATTTTAATCATAATTATGGATTCACTTTTCTACCACACTACAATTCCTAGAAGGTCAGCTGTATTTACTGAAGCCCATAACCTGTTCCTGGCACATGGCAGCACCTAATACCTATTGATACTCTAAAGAAACTTGAGATTATACAAACGTGGCAGAAAACAATTTTACATATCACTTCAACAATTCATCCTTCACTCCTGAACTTCCAGACGCTGTATATGATAAAGATAATATGATTTACAATTTATAGACCCTAATAAAGTCCCTTAGTTTACATTTGATGTCTTACTCAAAGTTCATCCGTAATAACCTACAAACATATTTCAGCAGAAAGTGATAGGACTTAGAGTATGCATTATTGAGATCTGCCATTTTCTTAATATACCTACTTATTTTGAAAATAGAACACATTTTATAATGTACCACACCTTGGGAATGCCACAGTTGTAGTCATTATTTTATCTAAACTGTAAAATATGATCTATTTGATAATAAAATCTGTTATTTTAGGCAAGCCACTTGATATCTGAGGGTTTTTTTTTTTTGATAAACTGGAGATAATCACAGGTTGATTTAAAGTTCAAATGAAATGATATTTGTATAAAAGAATTACTAATCAGTATATAAGTAAATGGAAGAACACTGGCCATCATATTCTGTTTAACTCAAATAGAATAAGAGAGAAAATTTACCCACACATACTAGGTTTCCTGATGTCATCAAAAAGAAGACATATGTAAGATATAACACATCATTGGTCATCTGTATAAGCCTTCTGATTTTACGAACATCAAATTGATTAAGCAAGAAGCAGTGATTTTTAGATAGTGATTTCAAATTTCTGATTTACTTCTACAGCTTAATTAAAGAAGGAGGAAAAGGAGCAACTTTGTAGAAATTTTACCATTTCTTTGACTTGATGCTGTCTTTAAAAAACACTTTGAAGTTCTCATGAATCTAATAAGAAGTACAGGAACTCAACCACCAGCCTCTTGTCCATGAGCTTTGGTAAGAAATGGGGGCCTGTGTTCAGGAAGTACACAACAAAGCTTCCACATGCAATGAAGGAATGTTAATATAGCGAGCATCTTCTCATCATCCCTCAACACCACAATGAAGTAGCCACTGAATAAAGGTCGAACTGACCCTAGCCAGAAGTATTCCTAGAAAATCAATATAAGCCCATTCAGATAGGCCAATCAGAGTAAATACAATGGCTTTTTCCGAAAAGTTGGGGACAAGACAATTTCGGGTATGGAAGTGAGATTTCGAACTCCTGCACCCATTTAGCCATCATAATGGATTCTAGCCTAATGAAAAAGTTGATGCACAAAAGTGGGCAGATGTACGGTAGTATTGAAAAATGCAGCTAGATCCGATCTCAAATAACACAATAAAATCACTGCAACTCTAGGTTTCTCAGTGTTGTGAATAAATAAACAACTTTTATTATTAAGCCAATAAGAGTTAGAACTTTCTATACTTACAGCCAAAATAATTATACAGTGAATATATGTTTGGGTTTACCTGGAATAGCCTTATTTAAGTCTGTTATCCTGGTGCGATTATTATTATGCGTGCCACTATTTCTGCCCTTGAAAATATCCCAATTTGCATCATAAAAGACTCAGCAGAGAGGATCTATAAAATTTTTCTGGCACTGAAGCATGTGATATAGAAATGTTAATGATTTGACAACATGGCATTTTTGCCTTAAGGTAATGGTAAAAAATAATCTTATTTTTGTTCTATACAATGGGATATGACGTTTTAAAATGAAGGCTCAATTATGGAAGAAAAATAAGCAATAATCTTCTTACCTATTATGAAATAGGATAAATGGCCAAGTATATACACACAGAATCTCCTCAAAGCCTTTATTACATACCAATTAGTAATGAATATAATTGCATACACACACAATTGCACACCCCACTTAGTGAAACATGTTTGGCAATACTATAAGTTTTTTACTCTGTTAAATTGTACATTAAAGAGACCAAAACCAGAATGTGGAAGAAAAAAAATTAGGAGTAATTCATATTACAAAAGAAGCATTCACCTTAAAGGTTCACTATTGATTTTTTAAATATGTAATCAACTCTCTTATTGAATTAAAATTAGAAAGTTCACATAAAATATTAGGCACTCTAAAATATTTGAAGCAGAATAATACATTTACACCTAATAATACTGTTGTGGCAAAAACTGGCTAACGTGGTTAACCACAAATTCACATTATATATCCTTTAAACAAACAACTTTAAGGAAAATATTTTCAATAAAGAATTTCATCTGTTTTGGAGATTAAGCATCTGTTAATTTTCTACCTGTGTTGGACATATAATTTACAACATTCAGAGCAGAATTTACAAGCAATTTAAAATATGGAAAGTAGCTACCTATTACTTTGTGAGCATACAACATCTAGATAAAGTACTGACATTTTGACAGGAAGATGTTTAAAATTTACCAATGAAAGTAACAACAAAAAGATAACCAAAACAAATTTACTATTTCATAGAAAAAATGCAAATAAGCCCATCAGTTTATGCTTTTAATGAATATTTAAAAGATACTTAAAATTCTCTTTTTAAGCTCTGAATTGAGCAAAACAAATGAATTTTAAAAAATAAGAAAATAGAAACATATTCATTTTAGTCTTACTATATTCAGATTAATATATTAATGCTGAAAATGAGTTTACTGCTTCCTGTTCCATTTAGCATTTTAGCTTCAAAAGTGAATGTATATAATGTATACATGATGAACCTATGATTTTCTTAGGAATGCTAATTGAGGGCAAGAAAAATACTAAATTTGGTCACTTCTATACAAATCATGTCCTTCTATCTTATGTGATTAAATAATGTCAATAAGTGCTAAAGTGTTTACAATTGCATACATGATATTTGAAATTTGGAAGTTATATTTGTAGCAAGATGTTTGGTTTCAGCAGTAATTCCACATAACTCTATCAGGTATAAATAAAGGGCAATTATCCTAGGACATGATTGCCCCTCAAAGGCTAAGTTTAAACAAAATATGCTCGTGAACATCCTATCCATTCAGCCCTGCTAGAAAAATTACCTCCCTACCCCACACTCCCAACCTGTAACAATTTTTGTCAATCTTAAAGTGATGTAAAAATACGAAAAATATAAACATTAGGTTTTTAAAGAAATTAAAACCATAAATTAATAAGAAAGCTTGGATAGTTTGTGGGAAGACGGGTTGCTTAAATTTTATTTCTCAAAGCAAAGACATTTTTAATACCAATGAGAATACCCAATTGTGCTGTTATTCCACCTCAGTGCACATTATTTTTATCATCTAGCTGGCCTATAAAAAAAAAGAGTGAAAAGCTTAAACATGAAGATTTTAAGTATCCTTTATTCTAGAATTGGCTTGACTGTAACAACTAGCAAAATTCTTCAGCAACAGCTAGCTTTATGACAACAGCTTTCAAACTGATCTGAAGATCAAGGGACAGTGGTACTAAAAGAGGAGTTGAGACAGAATGGAATAAATTTGAGAAGACATATGCTTTTATTCAAAATAGAGACTGAACTGACTTTATGAGGCTCACCAAAATTCTGTTAGCAAGGTGAGATTATTCTCTAACACCCCATTATCACTAGTTCCTTCAACATTATTGAAAAATACCTACTTCCTTGTCTTCTGATCTCAGGGCCAACTTTGAAGAGTTATCTGTCAGACTGGACATTGTCAGATGCCACAAGAAGATCTGAGTGTCCTCCTTTATGGCATTTGCACTGTTTATGTGAGTGTAATCCCCTACCCAGCAAATGGACCGGCTGCATTCACGACCTTCGAGCAAGTGAACAGACATGTTGGAATACCATTTCCTTGACAATTCTTTTCCATGAAATCTAATTCTGTAGTTGAAAATTCTCCACTATGTTCCTTATAAATCCATCTATCCCTCTAAAAGAAATGTACCACTATCTAAAGAAAGAAAGCAAAGATATGAACAAACACCTGACACGGGGCGCGGAGGAGAAAACTAATTGGGAAAAAAAAATGCACAAATTATACTTATTTAATTGCAGCAATAGTAATAATACTAATTATCTTGACAAATGTCTTTTACTTCTTTTCTCAAGTGTAGATATGGCTTTTTAAAGAAAGATATGCATAATGCATAATGTAAGACTTAAAATATGAAACTATTTAAAATATATGATTTAAACTTAAAGATCTATTACTGCACAACCACATAAACCCTCAAAGCATTTTTTATAGCAGTTATCATACTGCAACTTTTGATCATAGTGAAAAGTAAACCAAGGAAATTTCAAGATTTTTGAGGGAAAAGCAAAGTATCAATTTTAAAAAGAACTGATGTAATTATTACTGGTCAATTAACAGGAAACTTATTTAGTTCTTTCTGCCCAATTAAAATAATTATAAACAGACAATGAAAAAATATAAGAAACAACAGAATAATAAATTCAACTTTGAGAAACATACTTCTACTCTTTCTAAATGATGGTAATAAAAATAATTTGCCAGGTAAAACTATCTCTAACATGTCAGAGAATATACAGAAGTGGGAATGTAGACATTTTTGCGGTTTAAAGATTATTAGGAGTATGAGTGAAAACAGTAAGAGGGCATTGGAATGACTACATGGAAACTTACTAAGTGCAAAGACAGAAAGTACTCCCATTATGAAAGGAAGGCATTCACATTCACACTTGCTCATGTTGAAGAATCAGATAAGAGTATTGTACTACCTAAACAAATTCTCTTGCTCTAATATGGTTCATTGTATCAAGCTTAATTACATGAAAGTACAACAGTTTCTGATAAGAAAAGCTTAAAAACTCAGAGTAAATAAAAATATACGTTTTGCTTACCTTTTAAATGTTCTTTCTCCTCTTTTCTATGCCAGTCCAGATGCTTGGATATAGTTCCTACCTGCCAGTAGATGGAGATAGTAAAATTGAGTCTTTTGGTGACCTCAAATCCTAATCTAGGTGGTTCAGAATCTTCAATTTCAGATTTTGGAAGTTAAAAAAATTTGAAGGATTGGAAAGACACATAAGCTTGTAAAAATGACTATCTGAGTCAGTCAATGAACTTTTATTCATGGACATTTGTACTAATCTTTAAGGGAGCGGGTCTTGGCTGGCATAGAAAAAAATAAAAGAAAGAGCATTATTTGGAATAAAAGAAAGAGCATTATTTATTCCCTTGACTCTTCATTCTTCCCAGATCTTGCTCATTAACTCAACTAATAGCTATTGAGTATCTACTCAAAATTGCAGGTTACTAGCCAGATACTTTCATATACATTATCTTTTAATGCTTTTAGTAACCCTGCAAAGTAGCAATTATTATCCCTTAATATCTTGTCCCAGAAACTACATATTTAAAAGTTCCATATGGTAAGGTGACTCTTGCTTGCCAAGGTTTTGTAGTCCTCCCGATGGTGAGTTAAAGACTTCTCAGATTTAGGCAGAATAAGTTTCTTCTTGCTATTGATAAAGGGACCTTGAAGTTAGAAATTCATTTGCTAGTGTAAAAATTGGTTTTGTTTTCTTTTGTTTCAAATTAATACAAATCCTCCAATAGCTTTCCAGGAAGAAATTTTAAAAGCAAAGGTGCAACCATTTTATAGAAATAAAATAAATCCTCTGAAATAAAACAGGATTCATGAATAGAGCTGCACAGAAGTGTTTGACAATTGCACACTTAAGATCAAATTAATAGGGAAGAACATTAACATCTGTGACTGCTGATAATGACTTACAGAAATAATAAAATTATTTTCATTTTCAAAGCTAATAGAAAGGCATGAGGTACCTCTTGAAGATGATAAAGAGAATAAACTGAAGAACATTCAAAATTGAACACTGATGAAACTACAAAATAATTCTTCCATTTTCTCAGTTTAGTAAACCCATTGAATTTTAATTCAATGAAATATATCTCTTATCAAAGGCAAAGTCAAAGTTTTAATATTGCTTGTTGCCATGGTCTGTGAGTTGATTTCAACACAACACACTTTCAGAGAATGGACATTACACAAATAATCCAAAAAACACCAATGTTAATTGTTTAAGAGTGATATGATAAAAATAAAACTACTCTATTTTATAGTCACCTTAATCACTTTGCCCAAATGAATACAAACATCTTTATCTCTCTCTCTTTTTTTTTTTTTGGTCACCCAGGCTGAGTGTAGTCTCTGCTCACTGCAACCTCTGCTGCCTGGGTTCAAGCAATTCTCCTGCCTCAACCTCTGTAGTAGCTGGGATTACAGGCACCTGCCACCGCGCCTGGCCAATTTTTGTAGTTTTAGTAGAGACGGGGTATCACCATCTTGGCCAGGCTGGTCTTGAACTCCTGACCTCATGATCCATCCACCTCAGCCTCCCAAAGTACTTGGATTATAGGCCTGAGCCACCACAACCGGCCTATGTATCTCTTTATAGTTCTTACAATGATTTTCCGATTACAAAAAACCTTCTCATACATAAGTTTTTACCAGCTAAAACAACAAATAAAAACTAATTGTATCATGCACACTTAATTATTAT
Source organism: Homo sapiens (assembly GCF_000001405.40). Taxonomy (NCBI): domain Eukaryota; kingdom Metazoa; phylum Chordata; class Mammalia; order Primates; family Hominidae; genus Homo; species Homo sapiens. Next base: position 156,863,115 of record NC_000004.12, read on the forward strand.
GAAAACAGAATTAGTTGTCACAATAAATAAGGGTCATCATATAATATCTTGTCTAAACAATACATTTTTGAGAATAAAAGAGAGTGATGTTATTAATTATGTCAGACAAACAGACATAAACTGTGAATATCCCCAGAAAAACTGGACACTATAATTTTCCTAATGACAACATAAACCTTCAATACAAATCTTTTGAGTCTAAATACTATTTTCTTTCCACTATATTACACTACTCCAGGAAAATTTTCAACCTGGATGTTTGTGTGATTAATTCACAAGTGTATATTTTCCTATTGCCTCTTTATTCAACTCAGCCCACTGAGTGTAACTTTTTCTTTGTTTTCGTAAACTTGGCAATAGCTGTTATATTTACAGTACTTTATCTTAAAATAGGTAAAACAACAAAAACAGTAACAATCCTAATAACTTTAATAACTAATATGATCCAATAACAGTTTTACTGCTTTTCAGTGGGTTATTTGTGGGGTGTTTCTAATATTACCAATGAAGTAAGAGACATCTTTACCAATTATTAATGATTTGCTGGATTCTGGCTTCACTCCACTGCTTGAATCAGTAGGGTTAACATTAATTCTACTTCAGATTATAAATACCGTTCCCGAATTTGATACTCTTAAAAAGTGGTAAATTTCATATTAACTTAGAGAAGACAAGAGATCATTCCAAATGTGTTCACTGATGAGGGTTAAAAATATGAAAAACTGAATCTTCATTAAAGTACACATTTCATATCCCTCACAATGAATTCAATTTTCACACATATATTCATTTAATTATTTGATTACTTAGTTTTTAAAGTATCTGCGCATAATTTAATTAATAAAATCACTTTTTTTGCCAAAGCTTCTGTTTGTTTCTTGTTTTTTTTGTTGTTGTTGTTTTGGTTTGGTTTAGTTCATTTGTTTGTTTTAACTACTGTATCTCCTAACACATAGCACAGTGCCTCACACATAATAGACATTCAATAAATATTTGCTGACTGGCTAAACTGCCTAAGAAAAAAGTTTATATTTCACCTGCAAACATATTTACAAATAAAATTTGGTGGATAAAAAGGGTAATGTAAGGGTTGGTTTCTGAACTACCATTGCTTACTGAAGGCCACTGTGTTAAGAACTGACTGAGATCCCCCATATTCTACAAAAAGACACCAGCAACTGATTACCGTGTCATAAAATCTGTTTCTATGGAATAGAGTTATATTAAATTCATACTTGGAATTAATTCACCATGATATATGAGATCCCTGAAATAAAACTAGCAACTTCAAAAAAGTATCATATACATGAAGAAATTATTTTTTCCTTTCTGAAGTCAAAAGTCAAATATTGTTTTAAAAATAAAATGCCATTTTCTTGGCTTGACTTGGGAAAAACGTGTATACTAATCATTAACAAATTTGATATTTTTCTCTTCACAATTCCCCTCCTCACCACAATTCCAAGATGAAAACTTTTTTTAGATGGCCTTTTTCTGTGCTGGATGTGGGGTTTGAAAGGTAATGTTTAGAACTGATATTCTGGTGTGGTACGGCAGTACAATATAGTAGCACCATTATGATAAAGAGCATGCCAGTAAGGATGACCCAGACAGAAGAATATAATGATGAAGAAAGTTTTGAGACAAAAACAAACCTTAACATGATTTGCTAAATAATGTCTATAATCCTCTGTTCCTTTATAATTGCTCCAATTATAAAACTAGCCTTCAAAATTCCTCAAGTATGTTAAACTTCTGAACCAACTACTTAAAAACCAAAGTTACGTTTGATCCTTTTAAACCAATGGCTTGAGAAAGTTTTGAGAATCTGATGAAAGCTATGGATGGTCAAATCAGAAAATTATATATCTGTACAATCTAAAATTATATACACTCTCAGTGTTCACACAATAGAATATAATTTCAAAATATTCACCAGACCCCAAGAAGCCATCTACAAACCACTTTATCTATGAAATGAAGGTTAAGAACCCTTTCTCCAAAAATAACTTTTTCATCATGAAGCAAAACAATGGATAAATTTTTCACTTTAGGATTAGAAGATACATGTGCACACACACACACACACACACACACACGCAGATACAAACACATACACAAAGTGGTCCAGCATGAACACAGGGGTATCATTTCACATACTTCCAACGTAACTCTATAAAATTAGTTGATATACTGTCAGGAAAAACGCATATCCAATGTCTAATTTAGAACAATCTAGGAATTCTTTATATTACATAATTTTAAAAATTATTAACTTTTCTGGAGAAATTTAAAAAGCTTTTTATCAGAAAATGTATATAGAAAAGAATATAGTAGATAACTCAATTGTACATCCTTAAAAGGATGAATTTACTCCAATAGTTTTTAAGGGAAAATGACAAAAGCTGTTAACAATTTGGGGCCATCTAGAATGAGCCAGAAACTGTTAGTCACTCATGTGAATTATCTTAAAGCTATACTGTAAAAGACACTACCATCACCACTCTACCAATTAGAAAACTTCTAACTAGATTAAGACATTATGAACAAAGAGGAGAAAAAAGTAATAAAAATCGTGAACCCCACCAGGGAGGAAGGTCCAAACCACAGGCATAGATTGATGACAAAGCTGCTTCCTTCTCTGGCAACAGTAAACAGTACCCTTGGGGTGAGTTGTAGCAGAAGTTCATATGTTTTAAAATGAGCAGTGGTTTTCTTGAGCGATGTAGGTGGGTCAGGTAGCATAAAATAGATTTAATTTGATCCTCGTTCTTGTTTTGATTAAGTTAATAGTGCTTCGTTTAACAAAACACCATAAAAAGTTTTCCTCTACTTTTTTTTAAATTTTATTATTATTATACTTTAAGTTTTAGGGTACATGTGCACAACGTGCAGGTTTGTTACATATGTATACATGTGCCATGTTGGTGTGCTGCACCCATTAACGTGTCATTTAGCATTAGGTATATCTCCTAAGGCTATCCCTCTCCACTGCCCCCACCCGAGGACAGTCCCCAGTGTGTGATGTCCCCCTTCCTGTGTCCATGTGTTCTCATTGTTCAATTCCCACCCATGAGTGAGAACATGCAGTGTTTGGTTTTTTGTCCTTGCGATAGTTTGCTGAGAATGATGGTTTCCAGTTTCATCCATGTCCCTACAAAGGACATGAACTCATCATTTTTTATGGCTGCATAGTATTCCATTGTGTGTATGTGCCACATTTTTTTTCTTTTTAACAGCAAAAAAAGCTCATTTGGTCAGACTGAAAAGTAGTAACAAACACAAGGATTGCATATGTTGTATTTTTTAGTTCCTAAGGAACTGTTGAAATGACATAATTAAAATCTTTCACCAGACTTACTTTAACATATCTCTCACCTCTACACAGTTACCATGTGCAGTGGGTGGGGGGACGTGTGTGGGTGTGTGCGTGTGTGTGTGTGTTTATTTAAGATCTATCCTCTTAGCCAATTTCATGCATACACTACATTATTGTAACTATTGCCCCAATTGGTACATTAAGTGTCATTTCATCCTGAAACTTTGTACCATTTGACCAATACCATCAGACCTTCTATTTCATAAAGGATATTAAAGAAAGTTTAAAAAAATAACCAGTACTATCTATATTTAAGTATTATATACACAATCTAATTTTTTGCTTAACATTAATTAAAACAGTTTTTCTTGACAATAGTATTGTAAATAGGTTCTCTCCTGTAATCCATTAGTGAGCACAGTACAGTAAATGCATGGTAAAATGGTATACAGTGAATGCATCTCTAATCTTCCTTGGAGTCAGACTCATATAATGCTCTGGAATCATCATCACGTCTGTACCTGCTACTGAGTGTTGTAAGTGGAATGGAGAAGACAGTTAATAACTGGGATCGCCTTATTTTTCACTTACTCCTTTCCATAAAGAAGTGTAACAATGGAGTACGTTATAAAAAAAGTAGAGTATAATAGGCATCCTTATAAAGGGGTTATACTATAATTTTTTTAATATTTCATTTTAAAATCAGTAATTAAATATGTTAGCATGAATATTAAGCTGAAATTTTTAATAAATCATGTATGGATCATATTCTAAGTAGATCTAGATTTTATAATTACATATAAATATGCAGTCAACAATCAACAAATACTCATTGACAGGGCATACAACCTGCAGCCAGCCTGCTGCATTGAAGCCCCGGCCCTTTGCTCTACACATACCAGTGCAATCTACGTGAACGACAGAGCTCTAGGCAATAATGCCAGGTGATACTTCTTTCTCTTAAACTAAGTGACTTTTAAAAGCATGCAATGTCTTCACATTCACAATCTTTAAGATTTGTTTTTGCTTCAGGAGATGGTGGTAATGGGTGATGGTCATGGTAGTGAAAGGGGTGCGCACAGAGCTATGTTAACATCACCAAAGCCAAGTGTACTTATCTGTCAATTCAAGAGTATTCATGTATCAATTCTCCCACACCCTGTTGTTACCTTAAGAAGAGCGGCAGGTCATCTAGAAAAAGATTAGAGAATTGAAAAATAATCAACACAACCTCATGAGCTTCATATTTTAAGTGACTTATCGCTCCTGCTGTTCACGAACTTGTGATACCACTAGGTTTCATACTGTTTTCATATTAAACAAAGCTCACAAAACTGAAAATATGAAACCCCAAACAAAGGAATTGATCGGAGTGCTAAGAATTTATGTAAGTGTAAAAGAAAAAATGTGGAAGTTAGATTCAAATTTAAAAAGACCAAATCAATTTTTTGTTTGTTTTTTTTGAGACAGAGTCTTGCTCTGTCGCCCGGGCTGTAGTACAGGGCCCAATGTTGGCTCACTGCAACCTCCACTTCTTGGGTTCAAGCGATTCTTGTGCCTCAGCCTCCCCAGTAGCTGGGATTAAAGGTGTGCACCACCACACCCAGCTGGCCTCAAGTGAACCACCTACCTTGGCCTCCCAAAGTGCTGGGAATACAAGTGTGAGCCACCGCACCCAGCCAAGACCAAATCACTTGATTCACTGACAAAAGTAATGTGATAAAAGGAGATTAAATACTTTTTGACAAAAAATGCAGTATATTAAATCCTATGAATGTCACAAATCTGAAAGTTTTAGTGACAATCATACCTGTCACCAAAAATAAAGGCGAGCATTTTGAAACTTCAAATGAAATATTTATGTAATGCAAAATTAATTGTTGAGTCGGAAACTAAATCTTTCACAGGTCACTTTAAAGTCAAAGAAGATTTTAGTGCTGGAAAAATAAATTGTTCTGAAAGAGTCCTGTGTGAACACTACCCATTAAGGATTATCTGTCACCAACATTTAAAACAACAAAGAAAGGCTCAGTACATCTGGTAGAAGATCAACCTAGTGATGCTTTACGATGAACAAAAACATCCTAGGAAAACCCAAAGAGGATATGTAAAAGCAACTCTCCCAAAATTCGAAGCATACTATCTTTTAGTATCACTTAAAACAGCAAGCAATACAGACATTTTCAACTGTTTTCTATTTCAACTGTTTCTATTATAAAACTGTTATAACAGTTTTCTATCAGTGAACCACCTGCTAGTTCTTAATTGACCTTTTAATGGCTATATTTTATTGTGTTACTGGCAGCACTTCTTACTTCCTTTACTATCTTAGATATTCTATAGAACTGTATCCTTTTATACCTGCAGTTGGTTCTTCTTCAAGATTCTATCCTCCGTCTTCTTTCTATAATCATAAATCCTTGGTGTTCTCAAGTACTTTCACAAACACATCCTCTTTAAATCTATAGCAATAGCTCAGAACTCTTTTTCAAACCACAAAATCACATTCCAAAATGTTCCAAACTCAATATATCCTACTGCAAACTCACGATCAGTTTAGGAACTCTAGTTTCTCCTCTACATTAGTTTCTAATTTCAATTAATGGAATCACTATTTCACTGCCAGTAAGCCTCAAAATCTGATAATTTTTTTACTTGAACTTCTGTTGATGAAGAGATCTTCAATTTAATATAATTAGGTTTTAAATAAAAATGACCGGCCAGGTGCGGTGGCTCATGCCTGTAATCCCAGCACTTTGGGAGGCAGAGGCGGGCGGATCACAAGGTCAGGAGATCGAGACCATCCTGGCTAACAGGGTGGTCTAACCTCATCTCTACTAAAAATACAAAAAATTAGCCAGGCATGGTGGCGGGTGCCTGTAGTCCCAGCTACTCCGGAGGCTGAGGCAGGAGAATGGCTTGAACCCAGGAGGTAGAGCTTGCAGTGAGCCCAGATTGCGCCACTGCACTCCAGCCTGGGTGACAGAGCAAGACTCCATCTCAAAAAAAAAAATGATCCTAGCATATGAATAATGCTTATCACATAGCTACTGTTGTTTTTGCAATTGTCTTCAATATGGATTATTTAGCTTTCTCATACAGTAATCCTCCTCTTCTCTAAGAAAACCTCAGTTTTCCAGCCCTTCAACGCAAGAGTTTTGTAATTTTTAATCAATACTTCATTTAATCAATACTACATTTGTGTACCACTGGATATTGAACTAAAATTGAAACAAATTTTCTATAATAAAATGAATACTGATAATTTCATACTTTCTTAAAGAATCAGCTGAGGAAATAAAAATATTCCACCAAATATGCCTATTCGTGTCTTTTTAAATTAAACATTTCAGTGAACAAGATTGAGAATAATACTGGTTCTGATTTGACTTTATTCCTTAAGCATTGTTATGGTTTTTGTCACACACACATACACAAATAAATATTTTAATTTTAATACAGTCAAATTCTGAGTCTTTTGTATCTAATTTAAGAAAATATAACTCTCATAATGTCAAATAGATATTATTGTACATTTAACTCCCAAACTTAAAAAAAAAACCCAGCTTTTTTTTATGGTACATGTATTTTCCCATATTGATGGCTAAGATTCTAAATATCACTTACTGTAAGGTTCAGACTTTCCCCATTCTCTGTTTCATGTATCACAATGAAAATTAAGAAAACTAAGATCATGGTTAGTAGCCAGCAATAAATTAAGAATCCACTTAACCGAAGTGATTCATTTACTTCCCCACTTCATCTCTCTAACATGTCTTCTTCCTTTCAACTCTTTCTATATATTTATAACACTTTAACAAGTTTTTTCTCTTATTAGCTTAATAGGATTTTTTTTCCTCTCCTTCCACCTCTTACCCATGTATTGCCTCCAAAGGAATTTCATCAGAAAATAAATCTTAAAGTGTTTCAAAACAGACAATATTTCATAACATTAGAAAACCACAAGGCTGAAGTGAATTTAAGGAGACATTTTTGTCTTAAGTCTTGAATGAAAAGATGAGGACCTGATATATTATTATCTTCTACTTCATAGAGAGTTTCCTTTATTCTGTTTCTATGGAATTAACTCTTCTCTATAATTCCTGAACAAAGTATTATCCCTGTTGTATTTAAATGGATCTTCTCCTCCTCACTTATAAATAAATTAATATTACGAAGACACTTCCACAAGGCTTATTAATCCAAATTTATTTAATACGAAATACAGGATGAGTGCTTCAAAAGAATGTTCAACCCTAAGCCGTTGATGTATAAACACTACAGAAGATTAAAAATCCTTTTAACACACAGTTATTTCCTAAAAGTAACTAAGTGACTTTCTCACTGATACATGTTCACACAGTTTTCCAAAGTTGAAATCAGTTATAGTGTAATGTATTTGTATACTATGTCTTGCTATAGTTAGAGGATCAAAAAAAGCTATTCTCTGTAAAGCGATTGGAAAGTTTCATTAAAGAAGCTGCACAAAGGAAAACTTAAAGTTTAAAAGAGAGTAAAAAACATTGAATGCTGAGTGGTTCAAAACACTAAAAGTTAATGCAGAGAGAAAATCCTATGGGCAAACAAAATGATTCTTCACAAGCAGGAGCTTTTTATATAGAGTCTGGTGCAGGAAAAACAATGTGAAAAGGAAAAGGCTATAATCCTTCGTATTCCTTCCTATTAACTGCTCAGTTTATAGGAGCAGCTGCAACTTCTATTAGTAGATGCCAAGACAGGGGTTTTAATCAGCTTATAATGGGAAGTGCGCAAGAAACTCCTTGAAAATATTAGCACTAAAACAGAAATGAATGGCAGGAACTGGAACAAAACTAGAGAATTTATAGATAAACAGGCCTAAAAGGGATTAGATTTATTTTTCCCCCCCTGGCAAAGACTGCAGATCGAGAAAACTAGCAATTATAAGGACCCAGTGAGTCTAACCAAAAAATTAAAGCATTATTCTGAGATTTTGATTTCCAAATTTGACTGAAGATAAGAAATGATGCACATACAATCAAAAAGTTAAAATGGGTGAAGAAATACGCCAGGCATAAATGGGTCATGTGTAAAAGACCTTATCTATTATCAATCTCGGCTTATTTTAAAGCCTTCAACAATTTTTGCTCAATATGTACATATTTTTATACATAAACTAAATAGAAAATGTGCCTAAAATATTTTATTTCAAATGCAAATTAGTCGAGACACACCTGGGAATATAATTTATTAAGAAGACTATATTGCTTAGAATATACTATATAAGTACTTTATTGTTGAGCTTAATTAAAAACTATTTTAAAAACATTATTCCAGATTAAATTGAGTCTATGGATGACTTATAAGTGTTACAGGACAGTGTATCATATTTAAGTATTCTTGTAAACAAACATTAGAATCCCAGTCATGTTTTGCACACAGAAAGATAAAAGTGAACCTGAAGATGTATTGACAGCATGCTTATACTTCTGTACTACTGCTTACTAGATAACGCTAAAGGCTATTTCTCAAATAGTTTTCCTAATAAATCTATGGTTTTATTGATTCCCAATAAAGCAATGGCAAATTTTAAGGAAAACAAATTAATAAACTAAAGAGCAAACAACAACAACAAAAGAAAACCTCTTAATAAAAGACTATACACAATGGAAGACGACTAAAACTCTTATTTACCATGATGGATTAAAAATATCAGCTTTGCACACTCTGATTAAACCATGACAGTCACAGCTGTTGTCATTTAGTGTGCTTGCCATTTAATATATGCTAATATAATATACTTAAATGTATGTGTGTATGTGTACATAAGCCCAATTTCAAACAATATGGCAAAGATGTGGATTTCTGAGAAATCCAAGCAATGAAGCTATGGCACAGAAGACAGGCAAACAAGACAAAATCTTCAAATCTAAAAAAAAGTGATTAAGAATTTACTTTTTCTAGCACATACATTAGCAAACATTATTGGTGGTATTGCTTTGATGCACTCCAATTGGAACACACCATTGACTCAAGGCTTCAAAGTGCCAGAGTCTGACTTCTTGCCCAAGGGCCCCGGACCCTTAGTACACACTCCTCTCATCCCATCTGAATGCCTGATGCACATCCTTCAGACTCACACACTTTGCAACTTAAGCTTATAGGCCTTCATGGTTCTTTAATTAAAGTATGTTTTTAAGTTTCATCTCTTTAACTAGATTAGAAATTACTTAAGCTCACAAAATATGTCTTATTATATATTCCAACATTCCATGCTAATTCTGCTGAATAATCTCAAATGACTTGACCTTTGATAAGGAATGCTTCTGTACCAAATAAACATTTAAGTACACAACTGTTCTAGGATTGCTAGGAAATTAAAAATTTATTTGTATCCATAGTCTCTTGTTAAAAGTTTTTACATTGTAAGATTGTCAGCCAGGTGCGATGGCTCATGCCTATAATCCCACCCCTTGGGAGGCCAAGGTGGGAGAATCACTTGAGCCCATGAGTTCAAGACCAGTCTGGGCAACACAGTGAGACCTGATTTCTACTGTAAATAAATAAAATATCTAGGTGTAGTGTTGTACACCTGTAGTCCCAGCTACTCAGGAGACTGAGGGCAGAAGGATCGCCTGAGCCCAGAAATTTTAGGCTGCAGTATGCTGTGACTGCACCACTGCCGGGACTACAGAGAAAGACCCTGTCTCAAACTAAAAACATAAGGAAGAAGAATGCTCATATATAATTCTAAATGTATAATGAGATTACAAAAGACACAAAAGATATATTATTTATTACAAACCCCACTTGCAAGACTAGTGTTTTTCAATTCCTTTTTACTCATCAACTGTAGGAGCTCACTAGGGACAGGTTTCAGGAAGAACAGTTTGAGAACAGTGCCCACCCCTTACTCCCAAATTCCTGAAGTGATAGTGATAGACAATCTCCTTCCAGGTATTTGGTTCCAGAATGATTCTGAACCACTGTTTCTGAAGGTGTGGTAGTTGTACCATTAATTGTTCTTAATATGATTTCAAGCACTACATAAAAGGGCATGTTCTTCATCTTAATAGTTGATAATTAATAAATATTCAGTATACATAAATCGCATTTTGTTTCCACAGACATTTCCTATAACTTCTTTTTGAAATCTATTCATTTAAGAAAAAATTCCTTGCCCAATGTAAGAAAAAATATTTACTGAATAATAGCACAAAAGGATATGGTTTGGTAAAAGTTGTGACACTATGTAATGCAATTTCTTAAATGTAATATAATGGCTCGAAGGTCCATGAACATGGCACCAGGGCTAATGTGTTCATTGTTTTAATCCCAAGATCCCTGCCAGAACAGTCCTTGGACTTATTTTGCAATTCACAGCATTTGCTGGAAGAATTGAATTGACAGGTCCTGCCTTTTAAAAGAAATGAAAAATATCAGCTTTGAGTAAATGACAGTCCTCTATACAAAGTAATTCAAAGACGACTTACATCCCAGTCCTCCAAAAGATCGTTCCCTTACTCACTAAATTGTCTGAAGCTATCAAGTCTTTCCTGCTCAAAACACTGAAAGCCCAACCTCATCCATGAATTACAACTATGATCTGGTGTTTATTGTGTCATATGCATATATCATCATGTGCAGCAGTAGTTCTCAGGAGACTTACAATACTGATGGCAGTGTGGCATGGTCAAATACTAGACATAAAGTATTTTCTAGAAAATAAACAGCTTTGAACATTATCTCTGATACGTGACATTAACTTATGGGATGTTCACAAAATGTCACAGATGATAACATATAGCTGTGTATTATACAGTTAATAAATTGTCTTAACCATAATACAAAAGGAAAAAATTAATAGACACCATAAAATTACCTTTTTCATAGAATTAAGAAGGAAAAATATTATAGATCATCAGCTCTGTAATATTTATTTGAATAGTCTAACCATTTATTAAATAGCTAGTTTTGAGCACTCCAACTTAAGCCTCTCCTTTGAGAGGCTTAAGTATAAAGTGATTTCTAAGATAGTCCCTAAAAACGATGAAAACTCAAATATAACTGAAACCTATTACTAGCAAAACAGTCCTTATATGCTTTGCCAAGAATTTCTACAAATAACAAAGTCAATGAAATTGAAATAAAAAATGAATCAGTAGCCTGCCTATGATTTAGCTCAAGAAACAAAAAAGCCAACACACTTGAGAAAAAGGAAAGAAGATGTTTAACATCTTCCCTTGAATTGCCTCTTAGCCAAAAACACTGCATTTATAAAAGACTAAATACATTTTCTCTTTTTTTAATTTTTTTTTTTTAAATACAGGGTCTCAGTATGTTGCCTAGGTTCGTGTGCAGTGGCGCAATCTCAGCTCACTGCAACCTCTACCTATGGGGCTCACACCATCCTCCCACCTCAGCCTCTTGAGTAGCTAGGACTACAGGTTCACCTCATGATGCCCAGCTAATTTTTGTATTTTTTTGTAGAGAAGGGTTTTTGCCATGGTGTCCAGGCTTGTCTCTAACTCCTGAGCTCAAGCAATGTGCCCACTCTGGCCTCCCAAAGTGCTGGGATTACAAGCACAAGCTACCAGATCTGGCCTATTTCCCTATTTTAAACATTATTTTTAAATGGCCAGAGTACTATTCACAACCTCCTATGTGTATGGCCATTCAGATATTGCAATTAACAGGGAAAAAAAGCAAAAATAATTGATGAGTGAAAGAAGAAAGAAACAGAGATGGCAGCTGTTAAGCCTGCAGTGCAGGAGGTACACCCGCAAGTTAACTGTTATCAACAGGGTGTATTCAGGGATGATCCTGGTAACTGCATATGGTGGAATTTGTAGATGTCTATGATGTCACCATATGGAACACAATAACAATCAGAGGCAACAGAGATAAAAGACACCCTGACTTCATTTCATATGATGCTAGCCACTGAGAACTGGGCTGAATCTAAGCTTATCAACCTTCCTTCTAGTTACAGAGATGGAAAGGGAATATGACCATCACTCATGTGGAAGTTGAGCCATTAGAAGAAAGTCCACACATCTTATCTGCCAGTAAAAACCTAGTCTCACCAGATGTCTCTTCATTCAAGCAAGGTAAATAGTAAAATAAATATATGAAGACTATGAAAAAAATGCTGCAGCACAAGAAAAGGTAATTTTGTCCCGACATATCGGAAAGAAAAACATCTACCTCAAAAGTGATTTAAGGCCGGGCGCAGTGGCTCACGCCTGTAATCCCAGCACTTTGGGAGGCTGAGGTGGGCAGATCACTTGAGGTCAGGAGTTTGAGAACAGACTGGCCAACATGGTGAAACCCCATCTCTAATAAAAATACAAAAATTAGTCAGGTGTGGTGCTGCACGCCTGTAATCTGAACCTGGGAGGCAGAGGCTGCAGTGAGCCTAGGTTGTACCACTGCATTCCAGCCTGGGTGACAGAGCAAAACCCTGTTGGGGGGAAAAAAAGTGATTTCGCACAGAAAACTGAAGAAATTATTTCAAAAGCTGTTCCATATCATCAATAAAATGCTGAGGAATCAATTACTCTGAGATGGAAGAGAAGTTAATAGAGTACACAAAGAAAGGAGATTCTACCTAAGAATGACAGCTGCTCCCGAGGAAGAAAACATGAGTTGGAACAGAAAAAGAATCAAAAGCAAATACTTTCTTGTATTGAAAAACCACAAACAAAACAAAACAATGACCTGAGTGTGCATATAAAGTTTCCCTATGTCCTTTATAAACTTAATGGAAAAGTATCTGTTTCTAGTCACTTTCTCACAATATTTTAAATTATAAAATGTTGGGGAAAAGTTCTTCAAGGTTCTCCTTAAAGAAACCAAATTAACCCAAATAAGTATTTGTTTAGTTATGTAAAAACAACTAAAGAACTTGTTTACGAAAGGTTCAAAAAGATGTGTTTCCTTATTGAAAAAAGTTACTTGATCATTTGGACTATTGAGCAAACAACAGCTAATATTAATTGTGTACTCACTGAGTATTAGACATCTTCTAAACTTCAAATTACTTAATCTTCCAATACACTCTGAAACAGGTACTATTTAGTACCCCATTTGACAGATGAGAAAATTAAGTCATAGGGAAATACACATGACTGCAGGGGCAGGGTTTATATATCGCATGAAAATGAAAAAGTTTGAGAAAGCCTATAAAAAGTTCAGTCATTGTGTACACTGTTAAAGGTCTTGGTTACTTGGATTTCTCCTTAATTTCCCTGCTTGATTCTTCTTTATACACAAAATTATAACAGCAGTCTCTTCTTCATAATATAGAGCTTCTGGTGAGAACCTTGGAATCTTAAAACTGTATGTTATTTTTCATATTACCTGGTGAGATAAGTGTTATCTTTATTAAAGCTACGAAATCTAGGAATTTTTATTGTTGTTAATAAGATTATTTTTATTCGTTAAGACACCATCAAAACAAAAAAAAGTCAGTACAATTCTAAAGCACAATAACTTGCTCTCTTTCAAAAGTATAAGAGCTCTACAATTAATAAAATGAATGTATCTGCATTCTGCTTTTCAACAGTCAAAAACAATACAACCTGAAAAAGAGTGGTCCATTTATCTAAACATCTCAAATTAAAACTTTCAACACCACTAAATGATATAGCTTCTACACACCTTTCTGTTTTCCTTTTTCTTTTTTTAATTTTTAATTTTGTGGGTACATAATAAGTGTATATATTTATGAGGTACATGAGATATGTTGATACAGGCATACAATGCTTAATAATCACATTATTATATATAATAGAGAAAATGGGGTTTCCATGACCTGAAGCATTTATCCTTTCTCAGTGTTACGGAAATAATCCAATTTTACTCTTAGTTATTTTAAAATGTACAATAAAATACTGTCAATTGTAATCACCTTTCTAAATACACAAGTAGTTTCATTTTCAACATTGCTCTTCTTTAATCTAAAAATTACTCATGACAAATTTTAAGTAGCACATTCAAATGACCATAACTAAATAATTGTAAGTCAATCGTGAAATTATAATAGGGTAAGTAATGACTATGTAAGTTATTTTTATAAAAAAATTCTTTCTTCTTTACCGACTCCATTCCAAATCAAGCAAAAAATGTTAGTATATTAAATCAAGTACCAGTAGAGAAAATATTATATGCAAAGGATTATTCGAGGCACTGTGGTAGTTAAAATATAAATTCCAATATTCTAGGAATGTGCAATCAGGAAGTGAAGCAAAATATACTACTTTACATTTTTATTTAATAAAATCTAAATGTGCAGACACTATGGTGCTAGAAAATTCAGATGGGAAATAAAATAAAATATACTTCCTCTTCTGAGTTCATCCCTTTGGTGACCCCAGCTGACACCCAACCTCTCCCCGGCAACCTGCATCCCACATTTTTTTGCTTGGTTAACTCTATTCACTCTTTAGGTCTCAGCACAAATGTCATCTCCCTGATCTACCCTGCTAGGATAATTCCCTATTCTCACCCCTTTTCTAATATGCTCTCCTAACATGTTATCCTTGTCTCTCATAGCACATATAATAAAGCAATTAGACTAATTGCTGTTTCTTGTTTGCCTCCTCAATTAGAAGGTAAGTTCCCGAGGTATAGGACTAGGTTTGCCTTACTTACCACCATGCCCCAAGGCATGGCACATGGAAAGCACTTAACGAATATTTGTGCACTCAAGGCCTGGCACATAGAAAGCGCTTAAAAATATTTGGGAAATTAGTAAATAGGTGCATGAGTTGGGGGTAGGCAGATGGCTATCTGTAATTTAGACCTAGGAATTAAAACTGTGAGAGGAGAGGAGGTAAAACTGAAATTTGCTGAGGAGGGTGAGAGCAAGGAGCAGTGAAGTCCAGTCACCAGATCCAATCATTCCGTGCTTAGGAATAAGGAAATGGTTTAGCAAAGTAGAATGTAAGCAAAATATCACAGACTAAATTTTACTAGAGATAAAATTCACCAGAAAATTGTAAATTTTTATTAAAAATTACAATTAACAAAGTCAATCTAAATAACATAATTCCTTTGTTCAAAAACACATATGGCTTCCCAGTACAGAACTGACAGTGATACAGGCTGAGTGGCCCTTATCCAAAATGGTTGTGACCAGAAGTATTTTAGATTTTGAATTTTTTAAGATTTTGTAATATTTGCATTATATATACTTACCGGTTGAGCATTCCTAATCAGAAAATGCAAAATGCAATATACTCCAATGAGAATTTCCTTTGAGCTTCATGTTGACACTCAAAAAGTTTCAGATTTTGGAGCATTTCAGATGTAATACAAATCATTGGTCTAACATTAAAAAAACTTCTCTGCTTCCATGTCCTCTGTTACAGATTCTTCATATAGTCTATAAGCTCCATTTCCAATAGCATTCTGTAATACACTAACAGGGCTAGAGTTTTAGAGAACAATGACTTTTACCTAGAAGTAACTCCTACCAAGTAGCCCTGTGTTGACTTTATGTGTCCAAAGACTACCATGATGCTTGACACTTTATAGGTCCTAAATAATGGAAACATGTTTGACTTTAAATCTTCTCAACCATTTGCTATGGGATCACGACTAATTTATGTAACTTCTCTGTGACTCAGATAATTTGTCTGAAAGGTAGGTACTGTCAGTTGTCTTATGAGGTGTTTTGTACATAGCATATCCTCAAAAATGAGCTGCTTCTTTTCTCATTCTTCCTCCTGGGGGATTCTTTATTGCTCTTTGAAAAACATGACAAAATTTAACAGTTAAATCAATCCTCCTGTAGAAATCACAAAAAGGAGAGGTTTGTCCCTGTTGGTTGATGACAGTAACTAATTAATGTTATCTTCACAAAGTGTATTTTGAAAGACTCGTTTCACACTCATATAAAAATGAGCTTCCAAGATATAAAATCAATCATCCAATCCCAGACTGCAAAGGCAGATGCAGTTGTGCCAAGTTGAGAAAACAAAGCTTTATAGATTTCAATTCCTGTTGCTTCTCTTAAGTTATTTACTTACTTGAATCCCTCTTTAGTAAGAAGCCTAACAGTGAAAAAGATAACAAAAATAAACTCTCCAGGGATACAAAAACCCAAGCAACTGGGTTTTACTAACAAGCACAGGACATTAATAATAAAGAATAAAGCTGATGATCAGTCTTTGTTTAAATCTTTATACAAACAATGGGTCATTTACTCCAAATTCCAGTGCCCTAAAACAGGATTTATGGACATTTTCTGGCTACTAAATAGAAAGTGCAGATTTTTACTGTTTTCATTTCAAATGATAACATACTATTGTTCCTTTCCTGAAATAAACATAGTTCTTTCAAAGCCCCCAGGAACCTACAAAGTAAAATTGTCAATTACTTTTCTGATCATATATTAATTACCAGGGTGACTTTCAAGGATACAACTTTCTGTTGCTGAGCTAAATAAAGTTTTTGTTCTCTGAACAGAAAATCAGACCAACCACAACATTCTCTTAAGCCAAAATCTAATCCACAGAAAGCCCTTTTTTCAATTCTATGAAGGGTGAGAGAGGTGAGTAAGCTGCAGAAAAGCTGGAAGCCAGCAGACGTTGGTTCATGAGGTTCAAGAAAAGAAGCTGTCTCCATAACAAAAAAGGACAAAGTGAAGCTGTGGCAAGCTATCCAGAAGATAAGCTAAGCTGACAGATGAAGGTGGCTACACTAAACAACGGATCGTCGATGTAGGTGAAACAGTCTTCAGTTGGAAGAAGGTGTCATCTAGAACTTTCATAGCTAGTGAGGAAAAGTCAAAGGCTAGCTTCAAAGAACCATTGGACAAGTAGACTCTCTTGTTAGGGACTAACACCATTGGTGAATTGAAGTTAAAATCAATGCTCATTTACCTTTCTGAAAATACTAGATCCTTTAAGAATTATGTTAAATCTCTGCTTGTGTTCTAGAAATAGAACAACAAAGCCTGGGTGACAGTATATCTATTTTTACAGCATGGTTTACTGAAGATTTTAAACCCACTACTCAGAAAGAAAAAAAGATTCCTTTCAAAATATTACTGCTCATTGATAACGCACCTGGTCACCCAAAAGTTCTGATGCAGATGTACAAGGATATTAATGCTGTTTTCATGCCTGCTAACACAACAACCATTCTGAAGCCCATGAATCAAGAAGTAATTTGAAGTTTCAAGTCTTATTATTTAAGGAATCCATTTATTTAGGGTATAGCTGTCCAGAGATAGTGATTCCTCAGATGGATCTCAAAAGTTGTTTCCACTCTCATGGATGACACTGAGGGGTTCAACAGTGCAGTGGAAGATGTGGTGGAAATAAAAAGAGATGTGAAAATAGCAAGAGAAAGAAATTTAGAAGTGGAGCCTGAAGACGTAAGTGAATTGCTGCAAAATTATAATAAAACCTGAATGGATGAGGAGTTGTGAGGAGTTGTTTTTATGGATGAGCAAAGAAAGTGATTTCTGGAGATGGAATCTGCTCCTGATGGAGGTGTTCTGTTATACTGTTAAAATGACAACACAGGATTTGAGTATTACATAAAGTTAGTTGATAAAGCAACAACAGGTATTGAGAGTGTTGATTCCAATTTTGAAAAAAGTTTTACTATAGGTGAAATGTTGTAAAATGGCATGACATGCTACAGAGAAATGTTTTGTGAAAAGAAGAGTCAATTGATGCAGCAAACTTCATTGTTGTCTTCGTTTAGGAAACTGCCACAGCCGCCCCAAATTTCTGCAACCACCACTTTGAACAGTCAGCAGCCATTAACATTGAGGCAAAACCCTCTAACAGCAAAAAGGTTACTACTTGCTAAAGGCTTAGATGATTGTTAAGACTTTTTGCAATAAAGTGTTTTTTTTTACTTAAGGTATGTACATTGTTGTTTAGATATAATGCTACTGTATACTGAATAGCCTATAGGGTGGTACAAATGTAATTTTTATCTGCACTGGAAAATCAAAATATCTGTGTGACTCCCTGATATGGTTTGGCTCTGTGTTCCCACCCAAATCTCATCTTGTGGCTCCCATAATTCCCACGTGTTGTGGGAGGGACCCAGCGGGAGATAACTGAATCATGGAGGCAGGTCTTTCCTGTGGTGTTCTCATGATAAGCAATAACTCTCACAAGATCTGATGGCTTAAAAAATGGGAGTTACTTTGGGAGGCTGAGGCAGTGGATCGCCTGGAGTCAGGAGTCCGAGACCAGCCTGGCCAACATGGTGAAACCCTGTCTCTACTAAAAATACAAAATTAGTGGGGCATGCTGGCATGTGCCTGTAATCTCAGCTACCTGGGAGGCTGAGGAAGGAGAATCGCTTGAACCCAGGAGGCAGAGGTTACAGTGAGCCAAGATCGCACCACTGCACTCCAGCCAGGGACACAGCGAGCCTCAGTCTCAAAAAAAAAAAAAAAAAAGCAAGAGTTTCCTTACATAAGCTCTCTGTCTCTTTGCTTGCTGCCATCCATGTAAGACATGACTTACTCCTGCTTGCCTTCTGCCATGATAGTGAGGCCTCCCCAGACATGTGAAACTGTAAGTCCATTAAACCTCTTTTTACTTCCTAGTTTCAGGTATGTCTTTATCAGCAGCATGAAAATGGACTAATACACTCCCTTTATTGACCACCTGTTTTATTACTGTCTGCATGCAAACACGCAATAAATTTGAAGTATGACTGTATCTATAGTAGTAAGTCTCCCAAGTCCTAAGTATCCTGCTATTTCATTATTCCGCAACTAAAACAATACATTGTTAAGAAAATCAATTCTTTAAGTTGAAAATTGAGTCCACTAAGCTTGGCATTCATTACCTAACTTTGAATTTTGTGTAGTTATTCATAATTCTAATCAAAGAATGCTCTGACCGAAGTATTTTAAGATAAACAAATTTCTCCAAGACTTAAAAATCTTAAGACAATTCTCTCCCTAGTGCCAAAAAGTAAAAATAACAAAAATATAGCTCATCACAGAATCTACCTTATGTGAAGAAAAAGTACAATATTTAGGTAATTATTCTTAAACTTACATTTAATGTTCTAAGTATAAGACAACCTAAGAAAGATTTCAAAAACATATTTTGAAATAGTTAAGATTACTGTCCTTAATATATAAATATCCAGGGTATAGAAGGTTAACATGTATCACCCATAACACTTGTAAAGTAATTATAGACAACTGCATGTTGATAGGGATTGTTGGCCTTTCTTAAAAATGCTTACATTGTATTCTATGTCAATCTTTTGACTAAAAGTGACAGTAAATTCTGAAATATATTTCTCTAAAACAATTTTAAGCACAAGTTTGAGTTGTGACTGTATTATTTGACACCTGCATCTTTCAGATTCAAAAATTTAACTTAGAAAATGTCACTCAGGCTGGGCATGGTGGCTCACGCCTGTAATCCCAGCACTTTGGGAGGCCAAGGCAGGCAGATCATAAGGTCAGGAGATCGAGACCATCCTGGCTAACAAGGTGAAACCCCGTCTCTACTAAAAATACAAAAAATTAGCCGGACATGGTGGCAGACACCTGTAGTCCCAGCTACTTGGGAGGCTGAGGCAGGAGAATGGTGTGAACCTGGGAGGCGGAGCTTGCAGTGAGCCAAAATCACGCCACTGCAATCCAGCCTGAGCGACAGAGCAAGATTCTGTCTCCAAAAAAAAAAAAAAAAGAAAATGCCACTGAGTAACTCTCACTTGAAGTCAACCCTGCCCTAGCTGTAGTACCATTTCTAAGCACTTTTCTGATTCTGTCTTTATATTAGTCTAAACTGAGTGCTTTTCTATAGTGTTATATTTTTCTATTATTTCATAATATTGCACAGTTAAGAATTTTTTAGAAATCACTAGGTCCAACTCTGTTTACATATGAAACATATTTGATTATACTCAATGGAAAGATTGTATTAAAGTCATTGGATTAAAGTCATTGGGTTTTGGGTACTGAAACTAAAAATGAACCCAGGTGATTTTTAGACTCTTAGTGTACAACTCATCACAGCCTGCTACATTGCATTCTCTTTCATACTTACTTTACCCCAAGAATAATACATTTGAGGCAAGGTTTATGTTAGATTATTTTGGAAATACCTAAAAAATACAAATTAAGTTAGTATTGATTGATTGCTTTGATTAATTACACTGCCCACTTAACAATATGCAGAAGAAAACAAATTAACTAGAATACCGCCAGTGACCATTTACTACTATACATCATTGAACTACAGCAGTCTTAGTGTGTTTTCTTAACTTTATTAAGGATATCTTTGATGATCTGAGATTTCTTTCTCTTTCTCTTTCTCTCAGTGTACCTTAAAGAAAACCTGGATAGGAGTTTATCTAAACCATTATTTTCTAAATTGTTATTTCAATTGATTGAAAATGTAATTAACAATATTATTATACCTGAGGGGGGTCACTTAGGGATTCTGTGCTACTTCTCAATTGGCATTGACTTATGTTAAGACTATCTCTCCTGAATCCATGTATATCCTCAAGATAAAGGTCTCTGGTCACAAACAATGCTCACACAAATCTTCAGAAGGAAATTAGGGATCTCTATCAAAATGGGCCACTTAGAATTAATCCACTCTTGATTTTTAGTACAAGAACTAAAAGCAACTATTCTTCTCTGGATCCTCAAGGAACGCATGTCCTACTTAAAGGATGCCTCCAAGAAGGAAAGCTAAACAAGATGCATTTCCTAAAGCTAGGGAAATGCAGACACAGCAAAGAGAGTTGGTGCCTTCTTTTCCTATTTGGGAAGGGCATTTCCTATCTTCTTACCTGACTTCCTTCTTTCTCAGCTAGAATGATAAAAATGTGTAAGGTCAACCCTCAGGGCTGATTCCAAGGTAAAAGAGACAAGAAACAGACCCCATATCCAGCCAGTCGAGGCTTGCATGAAAGACTTTGTTATGGGTTGCAAGGTCATCATTCAGAAATTCAGTGGGCTGGCAATAAAGAAAGTGCCTTTTTGCAGATCACACCGAACCTAGCATGGAAGACAGCTACATTTTACCAGCCTGAAGAAAACTCTGACTCACAGATAGGAGTTTCCAGCCATATATCTAACAGTTTAATATCTTAGACAGTCGAGTATCTAGATCCAAAGAAGTGAAACAACCACTAGATACTGCCTTTTCATACTTCCTATGCAAAAGATGCAGAAGTAAAAGTAATGAAAAATTTCAATATTTGTATTTGTCCACATTATCTTTGAACACATTTTACTGGTATTTGTATACTGATTTGCTAATTGTTTTCAAAAGTAAAAAGAAGAATTTAAATATTTAAAACACATTGTGAAATTCAATTTGTCTATATCCAAATACACTGATACCACATATACATAATAGGAAACTAGTTCAATAGAAAGCATTTCATTGAACATGCAAAAAGATTAATGAATATGTGACTCTACTGCACGATGGATCAAGTTTTCAAACCTGTTTACAAACAAGTTTTAACAAGATACATATACAACATGGCATCCAGTCTATCACAAACTCATTTCTAATTCCATAAAATAAACTCTTAATATAAACTCAATTATTACATAGGTAAATTCCCTACTTTTGCCCTTTAGCTTCTTTTACTTGTTTTTCATATTTGGAGAGATCATAACAATAATGTTTCTGGTGTTAGACATTTCAGAATGAATGTCGTAACCTAGGCAGAAATAGAATATGGGGAGAAAAATATACTTGTGCATGTATGTGCATACATACACACACACACACACACACACACACACTTTACCTAAGCATTTAGTAATATCCAAACACTACACAGTTTAGCCTCAGTTCTACTCCATAACAGAAGATATATGTGTGCTTATTTCATCTTGTCTCTTCCATTTTACTAAGATACAGTGAATTCCATCAATGTAACTGCATTGCATTACATCAATGGCCTAAAATAAATAATTGGCATTACATTTAATACACTGATCAATGAAAATGAAAATTTTAAAATTTTGTAGACTATAATAATTCTTTAAAAGGAGGCTTAGAATATTTGTGCACCCTTTAAAAGCAGCATATATGGCTTTATGCCTTTAATTTCTAACAATTTAAATATCAATGTCTATAACAATATAAACTTCAGCAATAATTTAGAGTATGCTTTTTTTTTGTCAAATTGCTGACATTTCATTTTGTGTAATAAGATTTAGGTCATGGCCAAGCTAAGTGGTTCACACCTGTAACCCCACACCTTTGGGAGGCTGAGGTGAGAGTACTGCTTGGGCCAGGAGCTCAAGGCCAGCCTGGGCAACACAGCGAGACTCCACCTCTACAAAAATCACAAAAAATTAGCCAGGCATGGTGTTATGTGCCTGTATTACTTAGGAGGCTGAGGTGGGAGAACTGTCTATGCCCAGGATTTGGAGGTGGCAGGGAGATATAAATGCCACTGCACTCTAGTCTGCAGACTGGGCAAGATCTTGTCCAAATAAATAAATAAATAAATAAATAAAATTCAGGCCTCTATCCTCCCTATTTACAACTTCCAATATAACAAAATAATTTTGGCACTTCTTAGGTATCCTAGCTCTTAGACTGATATTTAGTCTTGCATTACAGTTCACAGCTCCTGCAGTGAAAATTATCAGCTAAAATGCTTGTTAAATTATTAAAATCTTGCATTTAAAAAGTCAAAATATAAAAGGCTTAGCAGGAAATAACACTTGAGAGAGGGCAGAAATGGAACACAGTGGGGAATAATAAGAAAAGGAGGTATTAGAAGATAAAATGTGAAAGTTGTGGCAAATTCTTATACATAATATCTAAATTATTGGTGTAATAACATTGTGGGAAGGGCAATTTTTTAGAGACTTCAGTTTTCTGTTAGTAAAATGCCAATGTGCTATAACTCTCTTGCAATAAGTGCAGTATTCCTAAAAGACCAAAAGGTTAACTGCTACTTCATCCCAAAAGATTTTACCCATGAGACTTGTACTTCTAGTTTAGATTAATATTTTTTAACTGTGTGCTTAAAACAAAATAAAGTTTTGTTTAGTAGATTCTAGAAAATATTCTGAATTGCTATTTGGCAGACATACTTTTATCACCAACCAAACTATCGTCCTACACTCAGCATACTCTTTAAGCAGAATCTTGATTTTATTCTCTCACCTCAAACTGACCATGACCTTCATGAAGGTCGAACATGCCCCCAGCTCTGAATCACAGTTGAATATAATTAATGGTTGCCTCATTTCCCCTAGGCTAGTGACTGTTCTAAACAGAATCATAAGATCTGACTGTGACCAATAATGGAGAACTTGCACTTGCAAAGAAATGGTTGTGGAGAAGCTTCCCATTTCTATATCTGGACACAACTATGTGAGGAGGTGATGCTGGAACAGGCCTACTGTCTGAAGTTCACAGGCTGAGGATGACAGGAAAAAATAAAAGATTTAACTAACCTGGTGATGATGCCACTGAGCCCTTGAATTAACCCTGAAACTGTGCTAACTATAGACATCTTATTATATGAGACAATAAACAATATTTAAGCTATGATTTGTGTCTTTTCTTACCTGTGGCTAGAAGTATCTTAACTGATGTTAGGATATTTTATTAGAATTTTTGTATGTATTCACACATAATACACATCCTAAAACAAAGCCATATGAGCCACTATTAACAAAGTTATTTCTAAAAATGAAAAAGAAACATTTCTATATTCAAATATTCTAATGAAGATGATACTTCATTAAGATGTAAAAATGAATCAACATCATTCAGGATGTTATATCATAGCATCACAGCTTACTATAGGTCTAAAAACCTGATTTACATTAACAAATAATTTATAATAATTATCTACATAGATTATTTAAATTCTGTTAACTTGATAAGGAGACTTCCTTTATCTCTGCTGTTTAGTAACAAGGCAGAAAATATACAAAGCTGCTCATTTTAATGTCATCATGCCATTTTCATTTGTAATTTTACATATTTTTGGGGAGTAAGAACTGGTTATGCATGTTTTCATTAAATATGAAAATTAAGAGTCTACCTGAGGTCATATATTTTAACTTTTTCTTAGTAATTGTTTAAGTGACAATGTCACAAAAGTAATCGTATCATTCCAAAAAAGAAATCAATCATTAGCAAAGAAAATGTAGGAGTCCAGGTTGATTGATACCAGGAGAAGAATAATGTATACATTTTTATTCAATATTAAACTAGTAGGAAAAAATAGAAAATTGAAACTTATTCCGTGAATAGTTCAAAAAGCTTTCTAATAGATATCTCCCTTACAAATAATCCACTTTTAAAAAATATTTTATTGTCTTCTGGGTGTAGTGCCACAGGCCTATAACCCCTCACTTTGGGAGGCTGAGGTGGGCCGAACACTTGAGCTCAAGAGTGCAACATGGCGAAAATCTGTCTCTGTGAAAATCTGCAAAAAATACTAGCCAGGAGTGGTGGCATGTGCCTGCAGTCCCAGGTACTTGGGAGGCTGAGGTGGGAGAATCGCTTGAGCCCAGGAGGTTGAGGCTGCAGTGAGCTGAGATCCTGCCACTGCACTCCAGCCTGGGCAACAGAGTGAAACCCCGTCTTAAAAAAAAAAAAAAAAAAGATTGATAAATATAATTCAAACATGGTTATAATGGGCTGTGTACTACAGTTCAAACAGGTCTAAAACATTACAATAAATTTAAATTTATGACAATTACGGAGGTACCCATGGAGAGGTGTCTTGTCAACCGTAGTACTTGTTTTTACAACTGGAGAGTTAAGTAATAAAGATGCAGCCTTGCCCTATTGCTCCAGTTATAAGTTCATGTTTTCTTTATGCACTTATCAGAAACATCATACTCACCCTGGTATTTAGAGAACAATATAAATAAAAACAAAACTTCATATTATGGTGTCATTTAGAGTTACAATTAGCCAACTGGCCACTATACAATGTTCAATAATCAACTTTGTGCACATATTTATACCATCTGAGCAATTACAATTTAATTTAGTTTGATGAAACCATAAGGAAACAAGACCTTTTCTGATTATAAATTCAGACATAAAATTAAATTGGAGATCAAAATATTCTGTAAAGAACATCCCCATCACAGGATGTTTCTTTCTTACTCTATTATCAAGAAATCTTTCTTGAGAAATCTCTCAGTTTAAAAAAGTCAACTAACTGTGTTACTGGTTTCTTTTACCTGTTGCTTTGATTTCCTCTCAAAACACTCAACCTTGCTTAATCTTTGTGTTTTTCTAAAATTCACATCACTTTTTTCTTAGTCTTTCATTTTTTCTCCAATGTCCCTGCCCCTACCCAAACAATCTTGTATATTTACTACTGGTAATTTTTGCATTTTTTACCAATTGGTGTGCAAACCTTCAGTAATTCTCTACACTAAACATTCATAATATGGTGGAGCAGGAAAGGGCACACACAACTCTCACATAATTAGAGAGATTGCTCACCCAAGAAAAACATGCCTATTATTTCAAGTTTCTCAAGATCTGTTAAGAGCTTTGAGTTACTCACTCTTTTGAGGTATTCTAATGTTGTGTAATGATTCATGGTTTGTAACAATTTCTTTGTGAATTGCCCTCAGAATTCTGAGACAACAAACACGTCGTGTGTCTACTACCACGTGCTGAAGAATTCAGACACCATTATTCTGGATGATTACAAATCTCTCATTTTTCACTCAAAGCTATTATCTTCAAAAACCTAGTTTTCTTGCCCAGACAGAGGCCTACCTTCTTCTCAGCCATGATTTCTTAACACTATGCACATTATTATTTTTTTCTCATGTTTTCTTCTACTCAAATACCCAGTGGTGATTACAAAATCTCACATACAGGTCTGATATTTTCCCTGAACATTATACCTTTCTATTAATACCAACTTAATTCATATCACATTTTATACTTTCTAGGATACATACAAAAATAAGATGTCACGTAATCTTCATATTAATAATTTCCCAAGGTTAATGAAAAAGAACAGAAATTATTGCCATGACACATGCAGGAAAACTTTGAATTAGTACAGTTAAAATATTTGGCCAAGAATTAAAACTGGGATTCCAATTTGGGTCACCTTCAAGGTTAGTGCTCTTAATTGCCATACTGCGTTTCTTAACATTCTTCATGTCTATGATGACAATACTGTAAGTAGGAGTTCACATACAAAACTTGAACCTTTTTGTCATGGGTATTAAGCTCTTAGATCAACAGAACTCCACTCCACACAATTCTACAAAGTGTAATGGAACAGTTTAATACAGCAAACTCCAAAACTAAAAGGAGATCTGAAGCTAACAGGCATTGTTTTGGTTTTGGTTTTTTTTCTAATCTTGTCGGTTGCCCAATCTCCAACAGCAGCCAACTGGTTTCCTCCATGAATGGAATCTAGTGCATGTTACGTCTAAATGGTAACCCTGCAAGTCTTATTTGTAAAAGTTTAGTCATAGCTAAAGCTGCATGCATAGTGAATAAAAAAATGTTGAATGGTCCAAGTGTTGGTTTATTGGGGGGAAAGCTATGTGGTAACTTATTTGATTGACTCATTGACGATTATTTTTTAACTCTTTTACTTATTTATAAGTAAGCAGCTCCTCTGAGTTAATACATGCTATCATCCAGGTTAATATGTATTAAATATCTACACCTTGTTAGTTCATGAGGTTACAGAAAGGGAGGGCACTGGTCTGGAACCTACATGTGTCAAGTGAGGTGACTGTATCATATGGGAAGGGGGTATAAACTTGAAGCAGTAATCCATGGAGTGGCATAGAAAAGCAGCCAGGGATGTAATCAGAAAGGAAGAGATGCCTGAGCATTCATCCAGAAAGTGGCAAGCAGAATGGCAGGGATTTGTCCACTGCAAAAAAACAGCATGTTCCTTCTTTAGCTTTGAGGTCTTGTGAGTCTGAAAATGAGGATCCGCCCCCTGCACCCATCATTCCAGCTGAGTCAAATTACTGTGTACCTCCTCATGCCAGGCTATGCTGCTTCAGCACTTGGCACGCGCTGCCGTCTCTGTTTCGAATGCCCTTTCCCACCTAACTCATTCCTCCCACCCTTCCATACTTAGACAAGTCTGAGCTTTTCTGACCAGTCTTTCCTGAACAGTCCTCCATCCCATCATCACCTTAACTACTGAGAGTGAAAGCTTCTTCCTACCCAGGCTACCGGGGTTCATGCACCCTCTTTGGTTGGTTTACTTATCTGTCACTAAACTGAGATCTCTTTAAAGCAGGAACAAGATCTCTTTTTACCTAACTCATAACACAGGGTAAACAGACAACAAATGTGCTGACTAAAATGCTAATATAAAAAATCCCTTAGTGAAATGTGCAATGTTACATGTGAATATTGGTAAGGCAACATAATAGCAAATATAAATTTAAAGAATATCTTTTAAAAAGGTAACATTCCCTAAGAGTATTATTTCAAAGTTTAAATTTTTCTGTAGGTAACCATGTATGTATCCATTTGGTAATATGTGTATATGTGTGTGTGTGTATATACATTCACGTGTCCCTTAAGGATGGGATATGTTATAGTAAATGCACCACTAGGCAATTTTGTTGTTGTGTGAACATCATACAGGTCATAAAACCTTTATGTAAAAGCCTTCTACACACCTGCACTATTATGGTATAGCCTATTGCTTTTTGGCTACAAACCTGTACAGCATGTTACTAAACTAAATACTGTAGGCAACTGTAATACAAAGGTAAGTATTTATGTAATTAAACACATCTAAACATAAAAAAAAGGAAAAATGCGTGAACCCGGGAGGCGGAGCTTGCAGTGAGCCGAGATCCCGCCACTGCACTCCAGCCTGGGCGACAGAGCGAGACTCCGTCTCAAAAAAAAAAAAAAAAAAAAAAAAAAAAAAAAAAAAAAAAAAAAAAGGAAAAATACAGTGTTATTATCCTATGGGACCATCTTCATATGTATATGCAGTTTGTTGTTGACCAAAATGTTGTTTTGCAGCATGTGCCTCTACACGCACAAGATTTTTGGTAAAAATGTGAACTAAATTTAATTTACAAAGTGTTTCAGGAGATTATAAGAACAGGGTAAAATTTTTAAGACTAGCATGATTCTCTATTGGAGTTTACATTCAAATCCTTTTCAGTGAGGTTTGGCATCGCTGAGGACATTATCCTGAAAGTCTTAGGAAGTGCTTTGAGAAACAGTGTTTTCCACCTTGCCAGTAAGAAAAGACAAATTGAAATAACCTCAGATTAACCTTTCAGCAAACTTTTACAGTGTTCAGATAAATAACATTAAGTACAGATTCAGCTGAACAATATAAACCTTTCTCCTCGCTTTAATATGTGTCCTAAGACATAGTGGTGACTACAGGTAGCTGGCTTTATAGTAGAATAATTCACCATTCATAATGCCAAAGGTAAAGCTTTGATTACAAGTGATCATTCCCCCTAAAAAGAAACTTGCCATGGGTGTCAATGTACATTAAAGAGTTTTATAACTGAATAACTGGAACATAAACCCAAACTAGTACTCTTATTCAAAATGCCATGATAACAATGAATACAGTATTCTAGACATGAAGTACGTGCTGGTTGTGTATCAAACCAGCATTTACTGAGCCACAGGCTTCAGGTCAAGGAGAAGCCTTGTGTAAGCTCTAAACATAGTCCTGACTGGGTTCAAATGCTAGCTCTACCAGCTATATAATCCGAATCAATTAAAATACCTAATTTTTATAAAATGAGGGAAAATAACACCTACCTCATAAAACAAATAAAAAGTATAAATAAAGCACCAGTAAATGCTGGGAACCAATAGTGGCAGATATTGTTGCAATAATCACAGTGAGTTTTCTTCAGTAGGTTATACATTAATTAAAGCATAATTAACAAAACTGATACATGCTTCTCTACTCAGCTTGGAAATCCTGATAGCAACTAAAACTCAATACATCAAAAGCAAAATTAATGGTTTCTTCCCCAGAAACATTCTTAGTTAAGATTTATTATTTATTTTTGTTGTTGCCACTTTTAATTATTATTTTTTTCATTTCCTGATGGTACCACCATTTCTTTTACCACAACTCTCAAATAGAAATGAAACATAAATCATAACAGAATGCTGTCCTAATCTTTGATGAATGGTGAAATGGAAATCCAAAAAAAGGATATAAAAATCCCAAAGGATTATTATGGTGGGAAAAGTTAGAGAAAACAAAACTATAAACATATAATAAATTTAAAATAAATAGAAACTTAAACATGCCTTACTAGAGGAATTCCATAAAAGAACCATTCAGGCAAAGGATTTTGGTTGGATTTATAATTTCTCTACAGCTGATGACATAAATTGAACTGCATAAGCATGTTGAACCACAGTATCATTTGCTGCAGTTGAAGCACTCAATAGTTATCACTAAAGCTGTTATACTTCTTACGTCAAACGTCCAAGGCAAGATTCTAGGCTTTAACATCTGGGTACTTGCTGGTATTTTAGAGGACTTGACCTTCCTATTAAGTGCACTGGAGTGAAACTATGTAGATAGCTGGCAGATGTCTGACAAG
This sequence comes from Homo sapiens, assembly GCF_000001405.40. Taxonomy (NCBI): domain Eukaryota; kingdom Metazoa; phylum Chordata; class Mammalia; order Primates; family Hominidae; genus Homo; species Homo sapiens. The sequence continues at coordinate 156,892,976 of NC_000004.12, forward strand.
GTCCTCACTATCCACCCCTACCACACAGATTTATTACATACCACCAGACAAGTCTTAACCAGGACCTTATAAAATCCCTTCTCAATGATCTACCCCTTATATTTGACATTGCAATATCCTCTATTTGGAAACAGACTAACAGTATTTGTCATAATTCTTTTTAAATTTTCTGTGAGTCACCAAGAGAATTTTAATGAAAAAAAGGAAGGTTAAGGTATGAAGAAAGCCTAGTTTCATTAATGTAAGAAGAGCTATTCTCTTTATTACATTAAGTAGTAGCAATACATATTTTAACTTCGTTCAGGTGATCTATGGTAAGACAGACCATATAGACGCAACAAGTAAAAAATGCTCTAACTAGATTTTTTTTTTTTTTAAGACAGGGTCTTGGTCTGTCACCTAGGCTGGAATGCAGTGGGCAATCACACACTGCAGCCTCTAACTCCTGGCCTCAAGCAATCTCACCTCAGCTTCTTGAGCAGTTGGGACTATAGGTGCATGATTTTTTAAGTTTTTTATTTTATTTTATTTTATTTTGTTTTGCAGAGACGAGGTCTTACTCTGTTGACCAGGACGGTCATGAACTCCTGGCCTCGAGTGATCCTCCTACCTTGGCCTCCCAAAGTTGCTGGGATTACAGGCAAGAACCACCATACCCAGCCTAAACGTATTTTTGAAATCACTCATTACCATCAAAAAAAAAAAAAATCTTGCTTATGCAAGGACAATTACTGCTCAGATTGGTCTGTTAGTATGCTTCATTGACCAGCAATGACACACACTAAGAAACTGAAGGGGCAATCAAAATAATTATAATTTAGAAATTCAAAACTTTATCTTAGAAAATACGAATTTTATAGACATATTATACATAAACACACATTATATGTTAAAGTCATCCACAAAAAGCATGCCAAAGGTTACATAATTTTTTTCTCTTTATTAGTTTTCTTCTCTCACACAACTAGAATTTGAAGCCTCTCCTTAGACTGTGTGTTTCCTGTAGTTCACAACCATGTATCATTCACCTTTCATCCCTGACATCTTCCAAGGTGACTGATAAGTATCAGGTGCCTCAAAATAATGGTTATACTAATTGATCAGCTATTCACATTCATTATTCCATGGCTAAAAATATATCCATGCCTAAATTTATTACTTCATCACTGTAAGTATATTAGCAACAATTTAAGTGTATTAACCATCCCCCTTTAGAGTTTTGATTAACTATATTTTATCTTAGTAATCTTGACTTTTTACTGGACAGTTCAAAACCTTTTCAGAAACAAATAGCCTAATTATAGTCTAAATACATAATGTAGGATTTTATCATCTAGATTATCATTCTAACTTCCTAACTGGGCAATTTTATTATCCAGTTCTCCCCCAGATTCATGCTATAGACTAGCATTTAAGTCTCTCTCCATAAATATGTCATATACCATTTCAGCATTGCATCATAGTATTGTTCATTATGAATAATCCATTACAGCAAGGTTAATACCATCACTACTATAATGCATACAATAGGAGTTTATAATACAATTTTAAAAATTCAGCAATAATGCAATTAATCCGAGCAAAATATATAGCAATATTTCAAACTCAAAAATTATGTATTCAATACTGATTAATCCTCTAGTTCAGAGGCAGACAGCACAACAGGAAATATGTTAAATAGAAGATAAAATTGACAGCATGAGGCTGCAGAATAATTGGGATTCCACTGCATAGGAAATTGAAAGAACTCTATAGTTAAAAAGTCAGAAGACAGAATTTCTCTAAAAAGGTAACAACAAAATGAACAAAAACCAAAAAAAAGGCTCAGCACTCATTTTAGTCCATTTGATTCAGATTTAGGTTCCATCAATTTTTTGTAGATTTGGATCCATTCCCACATTCTTTGAAGAATCTCTAGTTATTATGACCCTCAGGATTTTCACAGCCCCTGGAAATGTATTTTACTAATTCTGCATGCAAATGAGTATATAATTAAATCCAACTATGAAGTGTCCATTTTATATTTGTTACTCTCAGGTTTGTAAGACAGTAGAAATTATTTGAGTTCAGATAACATATCACACTTCTCCTGTTCCTCTCACAGAAGCTACTACTATATGCATCCTAAAGGGGAGGGCCCACAGGATGACTATGTAAGTTACTGTTCAGACATCCTTTTGACAGTAAATGGGAGCTATACTATTAATAAGGGGCAATGACAGACCAAATCAGCATGGACTGTTCACTTAGTTCTCAAGGTCTTCTATTTCTAAATAAAATCATAATGTTAACACACAAATTCTATATGATATACAAAAATTTAAATACTTTTATATAAAAGTTGGGATAGCAAATCAATAGAAAATGAGTGGGTGTCAGCTGGGAGCAGTGGCTCATACCTGTAATCCCAGCACTTTGGGAGGCTGAGGTGGGCAAATCACTAGGTCAGGAGTTCAAGATCAGCCTGGCCAACATGGTAAACCCCATCTCTACTGAAAATACAAAAATTAGCCGGGTGTTGTGGTGGGTGCCTGTAATCCCAGCTACTCAGGAGGCTGAGGCAGGAGAATTGCTTGAACCCGGGAGGCAGAGGTTGCAGTAAGCTGAGATCGTGCCACTGCACTCCAGCCTGGGCGACAGAGCAAGACTCTGTCTCAGAAAAAAAAAAAAAAGTGGGTGCCATCAGAGTTTCTGAAAGTAATAAATTCTACCTTTAGTCCTCAAAGAGATGAAAAAATCTATGTATATGTGAGTATACCTGTATATAACATATATATAAAATACATAAGTGGTTTTAAACAAAAATATGAGACACGGGTCACACAGGAAAAAGAGAGAGTAAGTGAACAGTTAAGAATGAAATGCCAAAACAGGAAAGTTACAGTGAGAGTAGCTGAGTGTTGATTTACTGGAAAAGCAAACATGATTAACATATTTAACATTAATGGTGCTAAAAAATACTTAAGCCACTTTCATTTGACTGAATCAAAAGAAGGTAATTTAGTTAAATCTCCAAAAAAATTAAGTAAGACTGGAAATGATTATATCATTTTAATTACAGACTACAAAGAAAATGAATAATAAAAATGATATCAGGATTAAAGAATTCTGGTTAATTAAATATTAATTAAAGTGATCAACACATCAAACATAATGTACCTCTTTACCAAATACATAATTCAGAAACATATAGAGTATAATTTAATCCTTATTAGGTTAATTCAAAATAAATTAATAATTATAATGCCTAAGGTTAGATATAAAAATCACTGTTGTTTTGAGGAAGTTTTTGAGGATTAACAACTCTCCACCAATGTTTATGAGTAACTGGCCTATGACTGGAAGAGTGCTAGATGCTTTCATAAGTCCATTCCCATTTATTCTTCAAAACAACCCTGACAGGTGTGTGGTATCTTGACTTTACAGCTGAAAAACCTAGGAATATAGGAGTTTTACATGCTCCTGGTCAAGACACAGCTTTAAAGGTTAGACTGAAAAGAGAAATGCCACCTGACAAGGATTCCTCCAGCCCTGTATCATAGCTATGACTTTCAACATACCCAGAACACCTTTAATCCCAATTTAAACTGGGCAAATTTTACTTAAAGAGTTGACACAATATTTAAGATGGACAATCAAAATTTCAGTTACATATTTAGAAAAGTCATACATAACACATTAAAAGTGCATTAAGAGGTGAAAATAGAGAGGAAACTGTGCAGATACCACTGTGTTATTTGAACAGCAAGTTACTATGGCAACTAAAGGGGATAGAGGGTAGGAAGTTATTCAGCCATTCAGGCACAGGAACCCATGAAAATATAGGCGGCCACTAAAAGACACTTCATGAGAAAACCATGGAAGCTAAATATCACTAAGTACCACATCTGGAAATAGACCCTTTTTGTTTTAGAAGCAAGTATTCTCTCAAGATTTGAAATTGATCCAAAAAGAGACTAACAATGTGTCTATTGACCATCTGTTAAAATGATGGCATCACTTTTGGCAGAAATGATCTCACTCACTTTATGAGAAGAATAATTTAATACGCACATTAAAGGAGCCCAGTCGATACCTCTTTGCAGTAATAAAGAAATCTTAAAATGTACATACTTCTATGTAAAATAGGAAGTAGGAGAGAAAACTTATTTGGGGATGAAGAGGCAGTAAGGTTAATTCTTCAGGTTTTATTAAGGTAAACAGAGAGACATTTGACTAAAAAATAAGTAAGTCTCACTTTTTTAGTAATTTTAAAGTTGGGTTTTCTTTAATAATTCAACAAAAGAATTTGCTTGAATTAACTATATAAATAAATACACACACACACACACAGGCAGACAGAGAGAGAGAATATGAGAGAGTGTGTGAGAGTGTATGTGTGTGTGTGTGTGTGTGTGTGTGTGTGTGTCAAAAGCATTATTTCGAACTCAACACACTTTAGGTTAACCATTTTTAAATTTTCATTCTGCCCTCCCTCTCTCTACACATACACTTTCTGGCCCTGAAATCATGTGATTCTTTGCTCACATTAAACTGACTGGGTGAGCCCACCTTTCCTATCAGGACAGAGGCTGATGCAAAATTATATATATTTTTTTCTACATTAAAAATGAATTGAAGTAGGAGAAAATGAGTCAACTAAATGTTAAACCTACATAGACTTTGAGAAAGTTTGTAATCAATATCTACATTAACAGACATTAGCATTTTTATGTCTACATGTTACTGATAACTGAAATTATTTCAACTTTTAGAGATTCCTATGAGCAACTCAATCGACAAACGGAAGATACTCGCTAATGAATAAAACACATAAAAAGTTACACTCTGAAGAGAGCCCCTTTAACTCTTCATTATAACTAAGAACATAAGTAACTAATGATGGTAGTAGCTTTACAACAAAACAAAATCATGAGCTTCACACCATAAAGCTGTCCGTCTGCATGAGATGGATGATATGAAGCTCTGTGTAATCTCAAAAACCATGTATTTTGCATGTAAGAAGATGAACTGGAGTAGTAGAGGCAGAATTCTATAGACTGAATGTTGTGTCCTCCCAACACGTATATCTTGAGACCTAATCCCCAATGTGATGGCATTTGGAGGTGAGGCCTTTGGGAACAATTAGGTCATGAAGGTGGAGGCCTCATGAAGGCAATTAATGTCTGAATAAAAGAAACCCAGAGAGCTCACTTGCCTCTTCCACTATGTGAGGAAGAAGATGGTCATCAATGAACTGAGAAGTGGGCCCTCACCAGACACCGAATCTGCCAGCACCTCAATCTTGGACTTCCCAGCCTCAAGAACCATGAGAAATAGAAATCTGTTGTGTATAAGCCACCCTTTCTATGGTAGTTTGTTATAGCACCTCGAACAGACTAAGGAAAAAAACAAGTTAAACACACTATTGGAAGTGATAACTAATAACTACTGAAGTGATAGGTATTGACAAATGCCTATAAGTGAGAATAAAATAAATGAGTTTGGTATGGACAAGCCTTCCAGATCTATCCTCCCAGCCCTCTCACTTTCACTTCTTCACAAGTACAATCTGCAACTGCAACTTGTGTTTGCTCTGTCATTTTTGTTCCAGAGGAAGAGGCATTTGTCCTCTTACGCAACTTAAATTTCCTCTTCTTATGCTCAGGATAATAGAAGCTTCCATTTTTTTTTCTTTTTTCTTTTCTTTTGCTCTTTTTTTCAGACAGGGTCTAGCTCTGTCACCCAGCCTGGCGTGCACTGGCACAAACACAGGCCACTGCAGCCTCAACTTCTCTTGGGCCAAAGAAATCCTCCTGCCTCCCCCAGAGTAGCTAGGACTACAGGTGTGCGCTACTACACCTGGCTAATTTTTCTATATTTTGTAGAGATGGGGTTTCACATGTTTTCTAGGCTGGTCTTGATCACCTGAGCTCAAGTGATCCACCTGCCTTGGTCTCCCAGTGTGCTGGGATTACAGGCATGAGTCACTGAGCCCAGCCCCATTCTTCTTAATACCAAAAATGTAGCAAGGTTCTTAAGGAACTTTTCTTTTTCCAGGTTTTCCATCTCTTTGGCATTTACACATGTTCAGGTTACACATATAATTAAAACAAAACAAAACCAGTAAAATATAGTATAATTGGCCCTCCATATCCATGGGTTCCACATTTGTGGATTCAACCAACCACAGATTGAAAATATTCAGAAAAATTAAAAGTTCCAAAATGCAAAACTTGAAATTGTCTCGTACCCAGTACTATACTGAATCCACAAAATGGTGTGTAGGATTGTATCAGGTATTACAAGTAATCATGTGAAGTGTACAGGATAATATGTGTAGGTTATATTAAAATATTAGACCATTTTATAGCAGGGACTTGAGCAACCTTGGATTTTGGTATCCATGGGAGTCACAGATCCTAAGGGATGACGATATTGCCTTACTGTCCTGCTGTTCTTGTTTCAAGCTTCTTAAACACAGAGTTTCTTCTCATTGTGAATATGTCTTCATGGACCATTCACTTACTAACTCCGATGACTTCTATTCTTAACTTTTATTTAATAAATTAAAATTAGCTTGGGTGTGGTGGCTCACACCTGTAATCCCAGCACTTTGGAAGGCCAAGGCAGATGGGTCACTTGAGGTCAGGAGTTTGAGACCAGCCTGGCCAACATGGTGAAACCTCGTCTCTACTAAAAACACAAAAGTTAGCGGAGGTTGGTGGCACACACCTGTAATCCCAGCTACTAGGGAGGCTGAGGCAGGAGGATTGCTTGAGCCCAGCAGGTGGAGGTTACAGTGAGCTGAGATTGTGCCATTGCACTCCAGCCTGGGTGACAGAGTGAGACTCCATCTCAAAAAATTAATTCATTAAAATTATTTTTCTTATGGCATCTACTGACATCCTAATTGCAAAATCCAAAAGATAATTTTCAGTCCTTATTTTAGTAGACCTTTCTGCAGAACCAGGCATAGCTGAGCACTCTCTCCCTCTGAAACCTTCTACTCTTCTGGTAATCTGACTTATCATAATTCATTTATAAACTAAGATCATGACCTGCATCTCTAAATAAATATTATTCATCTATATTAAAGTAATAAACAGAAAACTTGAATCAAAGATATGTGAAACTTAAAGTCTCATCCTCCTCATCTACCCAGTCATCTCTACTTTCAACTAATCCCAATCTCCAATCTTGATCAACTAAATATCTAATTTTATGAATTCTTACTAGAATTCACCATCTCCAGTTTTAATTCTCTCTTTTTCCCGAAATTCCTGAATGTCACACCTAAAATCCAGGCTCAAAATCCTTAGTTGGTTCCCTGTCCTCTAAAGAGCAATGCCATGCATTTAATGAACTTTTTAAAAGGTCCACCACATGCCAGTTACCTTGATACATGTTGTGTAAACAAGAATCTCCTAACCTGGGAATCATGATCATTTAAACGAAGGAATGGGCAGCAAAACTAGGACACGTAGAGTAACAGACATAATGGGTGGAGTCAGAGAAGTAATAGGTAAGCCTGTGAGATTAAATGCTGCTGTATTCAGTCTTAAATGATGAACAAGAACGAACTAGTTAAAGAAGAGGATAGGAAGCGGGTGGGGTGGCTCACACCTGTAATCCCAGCACTTCGGGAGGCTGAGATGGGTGGATTGCTTGAGCCCAGGAGTTCAAAACCAGCAAGGGCAACATGGCAAAACATCATCTCTACAAAAAATATTTTAAAAATTAGCTGGGCATGGTAGCACATGCCAGATACTCAGAAGGCTGAGGTGGGAGGATGGCTTCAGCCTGGGAGGTTGAGGTTGCAGTGAGCAGAGATCCTGCCACTGCACTCCAGCCTGAGTGACAGAGAGAGACCCTGTCTCAAAAAGGAATGAAAGGAAGGAACGAAGCAAGGATGAAGGAAGGAGGGAGGAAAGGAGGGAAGGAGGGAGGAAGGGAGGGAGGGAGAGAGGAAGTGAGGGAGGGAGGGAGGGAGGAAGTGAGGGAGGGAGGAAGAAAAAAAGAGAAGAGGGCAGAGAAGTGAGTGTACAAAAGAGAGAATGCAAAAGATGAAACTGAAAAGTGAAGAGTAAGCTTACCATACTCAGCAAAAGAGCTTGTATTTTCTCTGCTAGATTGATGGTTCTCAAATTGTATCATGCACATAAATCCTTTGGTATGTTTCTTAAAAATACTGATCTGAGACCCACCCATAGAGATTCCATTTCATCAGATCAGTATCCATATGAGGGAATCCACATCTTTTAAATTGACCATGGGTGGCTTTGATATTGAGACACCCACGAATTCTACAAATGCTCCTAGAGATACTGAGGAGTCATGAGAAGTTTCTCAGCAAGGAGCAAGCACATGTAAACGTCAGATTGGCTTTTAACGAAGCTCCCTAGAAAGCATGTGAAGGATTAATATGAAGAGGGTAAGTCCAAGTCAGGGATACCATCAGGGACACAGAGGGAGACCAGGAAAGAATGACTGACTCAAGTAATGCAGGCAAGGATGGTCACAGAGTACATGACATACAGCAATGGGAAATGAAATAAGAAGTTGGAGAACAACGCCTACCTATTTCTTATATATTGGTAGCGAGAGAGAGAGAGCAGGGCAATGGCCGGGTATCTATTTCATTATTATTATTATTATTATTATTATTTTACTTTTTATTTTTCTAAGACAGAGTCCTGCTCTGTTGTCCAGGCTGGAGTGCCAGTGGCACGATCTCAGCTCACTGCAACCTCCGCCTCCTGGGGTCAGGTGATTCTCGTGCCTCGGCCTCCTGAGGAGCTCGGTGTACCACCACCCTGGGCTAATTATCCCATTTTCAGTAGAGACAGGGTTTTGTCATGTTGGCAGGCTGGTCTCAAACTCCTTGCCTCAAGTGATCTGCCCGCCTCGGCCTCCCAAAGTTCTGGAATTATAGGCATGAGCCACGGAGCCTGGCCAGGTATGTAGATTAAGGTATAACATGTCTAGCTTTGAGCATGCTACATTGACAGCGATGCCAGGATAAGGGAAGTAGGACAGAGAAATCTGACATTCAGAGGAGCAGGATGGGTTGGGTTGAGCTGAATGATTTTGGAGTCCTCCACATAAAGATGAGTAATGAAGACCAAAATAGTAAATATGCTTATACAGGAAATCCAAAAACCTAGCAGGCTACACAGAAGATACTTTGCAATCTGACTCCTGACTACTTATTGAGCTTATTTTTAACCGCTGTCTTCTACATATCTTGTTATAAAATATATTTGTGATTTTTGTCATCAAATATTTCAAACAAATAGAAAAGTTCAGAAAAGATTCTAATAAACACTGGTATCTACTACCCAGATTTAATGAGTCTTAATATTCTGTCAAATTTGCTTCAGAATTTTAAAATGAAACTAACATAAAGTCACAGTTGAAGACCCTGTTTCCTTTCACAATCCTGTATCCCTCCTTACCTCCTCAGAGGTAACTTTTGTCTTGAATCTCGTTTTAATCATGTATTGCATGTTTTTATGTTAACTCTAACATGTGTACATTCATAAACAATATACCTTATTGCTTTCCATGTTTCCACATGTTACATAAATTCTATGAAACTATAAGAATCACATGCAATTAACTTTTTAATAACTTTAATATTATGTTTACTTTGTGTAAAAAGTAATTAAAATATTTTTATCATTACTGAATAGTATTTTGTACAAATTTACCACAGTTTACTCATACAATTTCCTATTGATGAACCGGTGGTTAACAACCCATTGCATTCTATACCCCAGCCAAACCAACCACATGTGGAACTTAAATATTCATGTGGCACAGATGTTTAGCTTTGGTTCATTTGATTGCTCTGCCTGAAATATTTTTCCTAGCATTAGCACATTAGCACTCAATATTTCTTTCTTTTTTACGTCCCTGTAAAATTCTTGATCTTCAACTATGCGGAGCAAAAAAACAGGCACTTGATAATTATTTATTGGATAAATAAAATATCTAGCTTCTGAAAATCGATTGATAGAGCCGCTACTAAGTTTCAGTTTTTAGAGTAACATAAAAGTCATGTCAAATAAATTCCACCCTCATGACACTAATAATGAAGAAAAAGAACATCAAAACCAATAAGGACAAAGAGAGAGAGAGAGAGAGAGTGTGTGTGTGTGTGTGTGTGTGTGTGTATAAACTAGATCACATATGTATTACAGTGAAAAGGGCAGTTATTTCAAAGAAACCTTAATTTTGTAGTGACATGAAATATTAAACTTACATACAAATACAGAGAATATGATTATGAAAATAATTTATAGAACAAATTAAACAATAACATTTTCTAATAAAATGAACAAATTAATAAAATATACATGTATACATTTAAGTCCTAGTGGGAAAACATGCACTTAATGAAAACAACAAGTAGAAGACCAAATTAAGCAAAGGTGATGGCACAAAGAGCTGACCACAAGGATTTATAATGTTCCAAGACTGTAAAATTAAGTGCTTCTCCCCATCTAGACATATTACAAATATTACACAGTAACAAATAACACAGCAGATGGTTTCCCCTATGAAAATTAGAAAGAATGATTTAAAATTTAAAACTACAAAATAACACATAGCAAGCTCAGAATAGATACTAAGAATAAAAGAGATCCAATAATTAAAGAATGAATTCTGACTAATGAAACTAAAATAAGATAAACATAGCAATTCAAGACAGCATACCTGCCAGTGAAATAATCAGAAACAAAAATAAATCCAAGTGTGCAATTAGTGTGTCTTCCCAAATACCAGCCAACAATCCATTTCTGTAAAACGAGTAATTCTGTAGAATCTCTTGATTAATTTCAAGCTTAATTTTAAAATATAGCAAAGTGTAGGAAGACAAACCATTACCTATAGTTTGGCAGGAAGAGGAAAGGAAGCAAGACTCTAGACCCAAAGATCATGATAGAGCTGTACTGGCCTTTAGGCCAATTTTAATCTCACTAGTGTGATTTAATGTTCATAGTGATGCCTGCCTTTGAATGCTTGTTAGTATCCAAAACCAGGTTCCCTGTAAATTTAAAACCACCACAAAAAATACAATAATTGATTTTGTAAATGAAAGTGGGCCTAAGTGCCATATTCTTGCAATGATATTACAGCATACAATTTACAGAAAAATTGGATTAAGTTGGGATTGAAATGGGATGAGGGAAATAAGGCAATATCAGTGAATCTTTCATTGGACAGAAAACGGAGTTCCTTATCAACTGACTTGGATTTTCATCCCCTGGTGCCCTAATTTAACGTGAAAAGTCATGGATAAAAGCTGGAAAAAGGAAAGAGATCATAATTAAAAGCCTTTTATGGTCAGTCATTAATACTGACTTCAGGCAAATTACTTAATTTTACTGTGCTTCTAACACTGTTAAAACAGGGCTAATTATACCTAAATACACTCTAAAACCATCTTGAACATTAAATAAAATAACACCTGGGAAGTGTCCTGCACTTATTTCTCTTGTCCATAGAAATTTATCTTTCACATAATAAAAATAGCCTTCATTTCTCTATTGCTCGAAACACTAGTTCCCTCATTTACAAGATCCAAATAAGAATGAATAATCTCTTAAGATTTTTATGTGACATATCTTAGTAGATACAAAGACATATAAGAGAATTTCACCATCAAGTGTATATTTGTGCTTGTGTATTAGTTGTTCCAACTAGCTACTCTCACCTGAAGCTCAAATGTACCTCCTCAGCAAATCCTTCCCAGGCTGGTAAAATAGTACCTGCCAACAGGTGCATTTAGGTTCACTAACCCTTTATTCTTGCTTTATTTTTGTTTTTGGCACTCATTACCAACTGACATATCTACACTTAAATGTTTACTGATTGCCTATCCCCACTGCAAAGTAAGGCTCAGTGACAGCAGAGAATTGATATGTTGTTTGCTGCTGAATTGCTGGCATATAATATTTGCCCAATAAATATTTGCTCAATACAAGCACATGTTAAAAATAAAATTACCTGGAGATCATCTCTTAAAAAGAAAATTATCTTTTGAGCTGATGGAACACTTGCTTAAATTCCTGTATCTTAGCATTACACTGGACACTATGGGATTGGTAAAACCAGATTCTGTGCCTCTTGCACATAAGGGAAATACAAAAATGATCAAGAAGCTGGAGCTGGGATCATCTTGAGATAGGCTTAGATTGAGAAATAAATACTAATTTCAAATATAACCTTCAAGCTCTATTGAATGAATTAATCATAATTCCTTAGCAAATAAAAGTTTGGCAATCTGAGAGCACCTACTGAATAATGACACCATATTTTGAATGTCCCTTATATGACAGACACTGTTTTTGATGTTTTATATTCATGACTTTACTCAATTCTCAAAAAAAGCCTCATAGTGACCATAATATCACTTTTGTATTATATGTGCCAATTTATAATCATTTATGTTTATTTTTTTCTCAAAGATGAGATAGTTGCCCATAATGTGCAATGCGTAAACTGAAATCATGACTCAAGGAGATTAATAAAGTTAACCCAAATAACACAGAGTTTGAAGTGTTAGAGCCAGGATGCATACCCAAGCCTGTGATTTCAAAGCTTCACATTCTGTCTAAAATACATTTCTGATCAACATTTTCCAAACTATCAAGCAGTTCAACCTGGAGTAGAAAATATGTCTCTAGTTCTCTCTCCTGTCAACCATTCAGAATATCTGCATCTAATCACTGCTTCATTCTCAAAGAAACACTATTTGCCCAGATACCAAAGTAAGTCTATCTAGAGTTTGAAGGGCTCAGCTTTATTTTAATTACATTAGAAAGATTATGCTGTGTTACCCAAGGGCTTACATCTACACGCAAGACCTACATTCTAGATCTGAAACAATAAAGCAACATAATTGCCATGTACTATATCACATTTAATATACTGTAGATACATCACCTCAAAAATACATCCTAGCTCTGCTTACAAGCCTGTTATGTAAAGTGTCAGTGACCAAAAGCAACAGATGAAACCCAGTATTAAAAGATGCTTCATCAGATACTTGTGTAAGTATACACAGAGATATACATTTATAATCTATACATATGCATGTTTATGTATATATGTTATAGATGACATATAACACACATTTTACATACTAGCACTTCTGAAGTTATCAGAAATTTTCAAAACAAGTAAGAATATTTTAAAAACAAGAATATTTCAGAAGTTCGGTGTACCCAAACAATTAAATACAAATCACTTAAAAATACTGCTTGCTCAGGTTTCTTAATGTCATAAATTTTGAATACGACAAATTTAAGCTTTCTCTGCCCTTTTTTCCATTTCAATTATATCCATTGTTAAATATAGTAAATTCAATTTCTATTCCATTGTTTAAAATTCTTGAATGTTTATGGCTCATGGTGAGGAGTGGTTTGGCTTATTCTTTTATGTAGTGTAAAGTAGGAATAATCACTTTCACCCTTTGATTTACTATATTTTTATAATCACTTGTAAAACGTGATACAATGGGATGTAAAACTATAATTTTAAGAGTAGACAGATGAGTAATAGGAGTTGACTTCCTGGTTTTTCACTACATTGTAATTAAGAATTCCTGGAAGGTAGCTTAGGGGGACAGTTTTAAAAAAGATTTATGATGTACTTTTAAAAATCTTGAGCACGGACAAAGGTTTATCTTTGAAGTTTTGGGATATAATTACAGCATAAATAGACTTCTGGTTCATATTGCTCTTACAAGAGCATTTCCTCTTTGCAGACTTAGGTTTCTGGCTACTCTAGTCATTGTTCTGAGGGAGTCACAACAAAAATTAATAAAAGTTAATCATACGTTTCCCTTAATTTCTAGAATAATATCTGATATTCTTTAATTTTACACTCACTTCCAAAGAAAGCCTCACTGGTAATAGAAGGCTGGCTTATGCTGGGATCTCAGCTCTGCCCCTTCCATTTCACCTTGCATGGATACACTGATGAACTAACATGGATGCAGCCAAAACATGTTTTATAACAGAAATTAAGTCTTGCAGGAAGAAAATGTACTTTTGTCTAATAAACAAATAACAATCTACTGTTTATGAAATCTGTTTATTTTACTCAGAACATGTAAATACTTGGAGCCCAGTATCTTAGATTAGGAGAATATACCACCACCATGACTTAAAAATAAAAATGGACCAAAAAGAGATTACTGATAGACTTTTAAAGAGATGTTTAAAATGCATGCCTTGTTAAGTGACACCTGTCTTTCACATCTTTGTAATGTAAAAAATAAAACCACTGTTTTTATACATGTTGATTTTTAGCCAGATTTTCTTACATTAGCACCTAATTCTAATCATAAAACACACATTTGCTAACAAATGAGTGAGATTACATAATATAAAATGCATGCCAAAAATGCAAACAAAAGAAAATCCAAGGATACAAAGAGTTTACTTTAGCAATCTACACCTGGAGAAAGGGAACATAAAGGTTTAAGGGTTTCATCTCTTAAGATGAATGAGATAAAGATTGTTTCACCTGAATTTGCATCTTTCAATTCACCTCAATGTCTAGAGACATTGAGGGCCCCCCACTCACTAGTCCTCATGGTTGAAAAGAATCTTCGAGGGAGTTGGGACCTTCAGACTTGTGTGTCAAATCTCAGTCGGTGGGTGGAGCTCTTGCCAGGCCTCTGGGTGTGGGCATCTCAAGATGGATGTGGTGGTTACCTATAAGCAGGCATGTGCTAGGCATTCCTGGCTGTGACTGGGGGTCCTTCACCTGGGATGAAGTGGCCCTAACCTCTTGGATTGAGCCTCCATGCTGGCTAGGGCTTGTGTCCTGAAGCAGATGCCCCCACACTCCAGGTCACCAAACATGTCCAGTCCTTCCTACTGTCTCCTCCAGTGTTATATAAAAGCAGCAGCTTGGCTGGGTACAGTGGCTCACATCTATAATCCCAGCACTTTGGGAGGCCAAGGCAGGAGGATCACAAGATCAGGAGTTAAAGACCAGCCTGGCCAATATGGTGAAACCCCGTCTCTACTAAAAATACAAAAATTAGCTGGGCATGGCGGCATGCACCTTAGTCACAGTTACTTGGGAGGCTGAGGTAGGAGAATCACTTGAACCCAGGAAGCGGAGGTTGCAGTGAGCCGAGATCGTGCCACTGCACTCCAGCCTGGGCGACAGAGTGAGACTCCATTCCAAAAAAGAAAAAAGCAGCAGCTTTCCTTTATATCTCATTTAACAAAACAAAGCTTAGCTTTAAGGCAATAATAAAATATTAATAGATCAATAATAAAATATTAAGAGATTTATGATGCATTATCACATTATTCTAATTACCTAGAGTAGTTGGTGTCAATATATAATACTTTGTGAAAGGCAATTTACTAGATAATTTACCTCCTTTATTTATGCTCATTTGTGTAAATAAATAAATAAATATTTATTTCAATCTAGAAATGCCAAATTAGAATTAGAATATTTATATAAATGATAATAGCTGCCAATTAGTAAAACAGAAGTATGGCATTTTTTCTTATTCTAAGTAATACAAAGAACAAACTTGGCACTAGGAAATTGTCATCACAACATTGGACAAAATAACCTATGTGGCAAAATGTTAGTAGAACTGTGATGATATCTTACCTCTGCTTCTGCAAACACCCAATCCTTTCAATGACCTCTTTCCCATCCAGTAATTCTGTGTTGACTTCTGGCTACCTAAACCTACCATACATTTAATTATTCCCATCCAAGCCAGTTATCTCTTAATATGACTTGTGCTTGAAATTATAGTTCAATAGACTTATGTAACAATCAGACAAGTGCAAGAGTATTATTCATAATACCCAAAAAGTTGGAAATAATCCAATGTCCAACTAATGAATGGTTGAACACAATGTGGCATATGTATACAAGAAACTATTATTCAGCCATAAAAAGGAAGAAAACACAGACATATGCCACAAATGATGAACTTGGAAAACATTATGGTAAGGGAAAGGAGAAGTCACAAAAGACCACACATATACAATTTCATGTTTGTAAAACGTACAGAATAGGTAATTTCTACAAAGTAAATCAGTATTTGCTTAGAGAATAAGGCATATGGGGGAATAAATACCAGCATTTGAGAGAATAAGGAGGTGACAGCTAACGAGTATTACTTTTTGAGATAATGAAAATATTCTGAGTTTGAGAAGAGAAAAATATTCTAAAGTTGCACAACTGTGAGTATTCTAAAAACAATGTAATTGGATACTTTAAATGGGTAATTTTATGGTATGTGAATTATATCTCAATAAAGCTATTATTCAGACAAGAAATTCCTAAAATAAAGTGAAATTTGCTTTTTATAAAAAGCCATTCCACAAGTTCATCTACCTAAACTTCTCTAAAGTTGGGACAAACAGAATTCTCTCTTAGCATTGCAAATATTATGGCCAGAAAATAAACTTCAGAGGAGAAAGTAACCAAACAAGTGAGCCAGAAATACAAACACATTTGGGAGAGTGTAATTTACATCTGTATAATTATAAGTACATGTCACTCAGTGAACTACTACTATATTTTCCTGGAAAACTGTTTATGAAACAAAGGTAAATAGGAAAGATATAAAACATTAGATATAATATGATCTCATGTATACACACATGTATTTCCACAAATATCCACATACAAATACATTCCAATGTTAACAGTGGGTTTTCTCTGAACAATAGAATTATCACTGATTTTCTTTTACTGTGTCCTTGACTACTGTAGTGGGCTGAACAGTATTCCCTCAAAGATATACGTCCAAGTCCTAACCCCTTGAACCTGTGAAAATGAACTTATTTGGAAATAATGTCTTTTCAGATTCTTAAGTTAAATCTTGAGATAAGAGCATCTTGGATTTACATTGTACCCTAAATCCAGTATCTGGTGCCCTTGTAAGAGAAAGGAGAGGGAAATTTGACAACAGAGCCACAGGGGGAAAATCATGAGAAAATAAAGGTAAAAACTAGAATGATCAATCTACAAGCCAAGCAATGTCAAATACTATCACAACCTCCAAAAGCTTAGAGACAGTCATGAACAAATTTTTCCTCAAACTGTGCAGACAGAACCCACCCTGCAGACACCTGGATTTCAGATTTCTGGCATTCTGAACTGTGAATTGTTTTTTGTTGGTTTTAGCCTCCCTGCTTGGGGCAGTTTGTTACCACAGCCCTAGAAAACAATTATATTTTGTGGTTTTTAACTTTTTAAAATTCTGTAATGATTGTAGACTCACAAAGTTGCAAAAATAGTGCACAATGTCCCTTAAACCCTTCACTCTCTTCTGCTAATGTTGACATGTTTCATGACTGTAGTACAATGTCATTACATTACTGTAGTAAATACCATGCTGCATTTATCAATAACTGCTCTTTTTAATCGCTGAGCAGTATTCCACTGCACAAAGGTACCAGTTTATTTAACAGTCCACTTCTTGAAAGCCATTTAGGCTGTTTTCTAGCTTGTAGCTTTTACAAATAAAGCTGCTATGAAAATTCATACGTAGATTTTGTGAGAACATAGCTTTCACTTATCTGAAATAAATGTCCAAGAGTGTAATTTCTGAATCATATGATAAATGCATATTGACTTTTATTAAAAAAAAATTGCCAACTTACTTCTTGAGACGGCTGTAGCATTTACATCCACCAGTGACATATGGGAGATCCATTTTCTCCACATCCTCACCAGTATTTGGCATCACCAGCATTTTTCTTTGTTCTAGCCATTCTAATAGGTGTGTGGTGCTATCTCATTGTGGTTTTTAATTTGCATTTACCTAACGGCAGATGCTCACCATATTTTCATAGGCTCATTCGACATCTGTAGATCCCTTTTCTGTGTAATGTCTGTTCATGTCTTTTATCCATTTTCGAATTAGGATGTTCATGTTTTTACAGTTGAGTTTTGAGAGTCCTTTATATATCATATACACAAATCCTTTGTCAGATATGTAGTTTGTAAATATTTTTTTCTAAATCCATAGCTCGTCCTTTCATCCTCTTAACGCGGTGTTTTACAGAGCAAAAGTTTTATTTTCATGAAGCCAAATTTACCAGTCATTCCTTTTGTGGGGTGTGCTTTTGGGATCATATCTAAGTACTGTTTGCCTAACCCTAGATATTTTCTAAATTTTTATGAGAAGGTTTCATGAGGAAAATTGAACTTGCATGTTAATGAGTGACATTCAATGAAGAATTGCATTTTTAAAGAACCCTAAATGTATTACATCTCACTTAAATACTATGCTTTATTTGAAAATCTCTTACATCCATTTAAACATACATATGTATCACACACATAAAAGTCTCATATAGAGGATATCATATGCTTAGTTTTTTTCTTTTATTGTGAAACGGAAACAAATTCCCCCTATTCCTTGACTACACTGAACTATTTCCCTTCTCTTTCGAGAAGAAATAGAGTCATAAAATTAATACTGTATTTTGAGGTATTATGATGAGTGTTGTAAATAATGATACTAGTATTAACAGTAATAATAGTTAAAGGTTGTGCAGGGCTTATTATATATACTAGACTTTATGCTATATATATTATTTGCTTTCATTTATTAAATCTTAAGTGGAGAAAAAACCTCTAAGTGTTATATTATTATTCTCATTTCATACATGAAAATTCTGAGGAATAGAGAAGTTAAATAACTTGGTCAACTGACAGAGCTAGTAAGTGGTAGAGATAAGACATAAACCCATTTGTTTGATTCCAGAATTAATTCCTGAAGCACAACAAAGCTAATTAATCTGAAAAGACATCTAAATAGTGGAGTGATAAGGCAGATGAAATATTAAAAATAAGTCTACGTAATTAATGCACATGCGTTGGTAAGCAAAAGTTATATGTCCTATGTGGAGACATGTTTATGATTTACATATGATAGTATGATGACTGGAGAGCTGGCCAATTATTGTTAAACAATGAATGTCTAAATTTTTTGGCAGAAGTTAAGTGGCTTTGGTCAAGGTTTCAATATTTAAAAAAGAGAAACTAGAGTATGAATCTGAGAGACTAAGGAAAGTTTTCTTAGGACTTAGACAAAGAATAACAGAAACCGAGAGCAAATTTAGTTTAGAACTTACACGATGATTTTTTTCTGGAGGTCAGGAAAAAATATTCTAGTACAAAAACAGGGTATTCACTTCTTAGAGCACTGTATAGGAAATCAAGATTGAACAAGGGAAACCTTAAAAAATATATTCAAAATTGAGAGCAGCTAGACACCTCATATATTTCATTTGGCTGAGAGGACCAACTAGAAATAAGCTGGTAAACTCATGGACAGAAATCTTGTCTTTTTCAACAAACACTGCATCTACTATATCTAAGAACTCAGTTCCTGGTATATTACATGCTCAAATGCACAAATGCTTATTAATTCTTAACCTTTCATTATGTGGAAGTGGTCAGGGTTCTCGAGGCACATGTCCTTAGAAAACTTCCCTGACTGCTTGCTTCCCTGTCTCCCACTTCCTCCTTCCTTCCTTTCCTATCTTCCTTCCTTTCTTTCTAGTAGACAACAAAATAACATGGAGAAATGTATGTGGAGGGCAAAGCCACAAAAGTATTCCTAAGTTCTGAAACTGACAGTATTCTAGAAGTCCACTATGAATTAAGCGGGTTTCCTATGTCTACTTGAGATTTAAATACAATTTAAATAAAATGAATCATCATAATCTTAAGGGAGAAAATGGGAACACAAGAAATATGTAAGTATACTTTAAATATTATATAAATATGTACATTTTTCTCTACATGGCAAGTAGTCAGATTCTGGATGTCCTTCACGGTGGGATGCAACACAGACTACCCAGAATATCTTTAATTATAGACTATAAAATAAAAGGAATGCTGCTAAAATAGCTGGAGGGATTAAAAAAATCTTTTAAGAGGTATCTTTCCCTTCATTTTTATGATTATAGTCTTTTAAGACATAACCCACACCCATTCTTATATTTTGGACATAAGCTTCCAGTTGAGAGGCTGTCTCTCATGATCCACTAACAGGAAAACCCAGATGTAATGTTTAGATTCAAAATGTTTGGCTCTTAAAAGTTGGTCTCTTGTTACCCCCTTCTTCTTCAAGGAGTGAATGACATCCTGAAAGATATACATACCCTTCGCATCAACTATCACTAATACATAAAAAAACTCTCCAGTACCAGTCCTTACCTCCATCCTTCAGTATAGCAAGCTATTTCTAACAAAATTTTCTATATCTTGTGAAATGTGATATATAAAATGGTGTCATGGTGGTACAGAGCCCTACAACGGAGTTGGGAAGCCCTTCTAACAAGGACTGCCTACATGACCTACAGGCTTGCAAGAAATATTTTAAAAAGAAAAAAAAAATAGGACCTGAACCTTTGTACCAGGCCAAACTGCAATGACTACAATATCCTGAAAAACAGCTGAATTTTGCAAGTGATGCAACTGGAACAGTGACAACCAATGAACTACGGAATCATGTACTAAGCCAGTTGCTTCTACCAGAAATAAGTCTTTCAAAACAACTTGTGCATTCACCTTTAGCTTCCTTTTAAAAGCCCCTATTTCCCTCCCTCTCTTGAGGCTTCGCGCCAAATCTGTCTCCTGAATTAGAATTCCTAAGACCCCAATAAACACCTTATCTTACTACTTTTCAGTCTGGTCTTTTGCTTCTTCTTAGGTGACATTAAGTGGTGTCAGAAGTGGGATATGAAGTGCCTCTCCTCTGCATTACACAGCTACAGCAGATTTAGGAATGGTACCTGCAAGGACCCCTCATGTTCCACCTCTCTAATGGCCCCAGGCCCCGTTGGTGAGTCCTCTCTCCCAAACCTCTCACCTTGGTTGAGGTTCAGGCTTTTATCAGGTGCCCTTTGCTGCTGTCTGCTGACAAAGGGATTTTTCCCTTTTCAGTGAAAACTCATGGGGACTTCTAAGGGTATTAGGTACTGAGTCATCCCCTTCTAGAATCCCTGCTGGTTTTATGCACAAAAATTATGGTAGGTTATCCTGTAAATTTCTTTCTTGATGGAAAAACATCACTAGAATTGATCTGGAATTACAATGATCAATTAATTGGGGATTTTTGATCTTCCAAACATGTTTTCCTCTGCACACAATCAGAAGGACTAAAAAGAAAGATTAAATAGCCTAAGTGAATACTCCAGGAATCTAAGGGATAACAATGCCAAATTAGCTCAAAAACTCTCTCAGTTGTGGGCGGGGAGATCTCAGAAGCTTCTAAAAACAAAACCAGAACCAAGTGTGCTTCTATCTGCTTGTCCTTGTTCTGTGTTGCCTCCTTCTCCTATCCCTACCCCTTCCATCCCACTGCCATACTGGGCACCCTCTTGCTTACTGCCTATATAGCCTTCTGGATCTGAACTTCCATTGTTTGATGAACCCCTTAGTGAATCTCCTCCAGTCATCCAACCCTTATTAAATGTAAACTGAAAAAGGTTCTGGATATTCTGTTACTTATACTCCCTGGACTATAACAAGAACTCACGGCTATTGCCAAAGTTATCACTGATCCCTTAACTGATCCTGTCAGATTCACCAAATAATTCAACCTCCTTACTAAAGCCTATCCACTAGGTTACTCTAATCTTTACCAGTTGATCCATGTGTTGGTAGCCGAAAGCCATGTTCAAACGTGGTTAAGTAAAGCAAGCTGGCATCATCCTTTACATGACCCAGGGGAAGAAATGAAAACAAAACCTGGTGATTTCTAAAAGTCTCAAAATCAGCCAGAGAATTATATGCTCAGATTGCTGAAGTATTTCCAAAACTACAGACTGGAAAGAGATTCAACAAAGCACTAAGAACCTGATAGTATTTAGGAACCAGTCTATAAATACTATGACAGACTGGCTTTACAATACCCAGGATTGGATAAAATTGACTAACAAACTTCCCTTCTGTTTATTTCTAGCTTTGTTAATGGTTTAGAGTAGTAAATTAGCATCTTAATAAAAAACAAGCAATTAAATTGGGTGACTATGGAAACCTCCAACCTACTGAATATGGTGGGACAACTCTCCAAAACCACACACACACAAAAAAATGGCCAAAAAAATGCTGCTAAAGTCCTAGATTTTCAGATCCAAACTGCAAAAGTTATCAACTACCAAATGCAGCAACTAGCATTAAATGAATCCCCAAAACTTTATAAATCTAAACCTTCTTCCAACCATGCTTTCTATTCCTTTTCCTTAGAGTAACAACAAAATACAAAGCGTTAGGGTTTCAAATCAGCCAATGACAGTTTACAATCTCTCCTCATAGCCTTTTAACTCAGGGAACTCTAAGGTGGTCATCAGTTTCTATTAGCTTCTTAGGCTCCCATCCACCTAATTGGCTGAAATTTTCTGGAAGCCCACAAAGCTCATGTGTCTTTCTCTCAAAAGGGGGAAATGCAACTAGCATTGGAAAAAACTACTAAAGAGGGAATCCTCAAGGAACCCACTGAACTCTGTCCCTTTATTTTCAGTTCTTGAAAACAAGGTGCGGGGGGGCAGGGTGCAGTGATCCCAGCACTTTGGGAGGCCAAAACAGGCTGATCACCTGAGATCAGTAGCTTGAGACCAGCCTGGCCAACATTGTGAAAACTCATTTCTACTAAAAATACAAAAATTAGCTGGGAGTGGTGGTGCGTGTTTGTAATCTCAGCTACTCAGGAAGTTGAGGCAGAAGAATCCCGGCAGAGGTTGCAGTGAGTGGAGATCATGCCACTGCACTCCAGCCTGGGCAACAGAGTGAGACTCTGCTTTAATTAAAAAAAGAAAAGAAAATCACAAAGTTTCATAAGAAAAGCTACCAACTCTCTCACAAGTATTTAAGACAGTCTTTTGCTTGATCCCCAAAGAATAGAAGCAACGGCTTTTCCTGCCCCCATGACCAAAAGAAAATTCTGTGGGTTCCTGGGATTAGCAGGATATGTAGAAAATGAATTCCAAGTTTCTCTGTGATAGCTCTAACTCTATATTCCTTTCTAAAAAACTGATCACCCCAAACTTCTACAATGGCCAAAAGAAGCCTACTCCTCTTTTGGGAATATTAAGAAGAACCTTCTTGAGCCCACTGCTCATATAATTAGGATATCCTAATTATAAACCTCCTTTCTCCTATTTCATTCATGAACAAAATTCTAAGATCTTAGGGGTTCTTACCCCAAGGCACAGAGACAATCAGAGGCCTTTACGATATTTACAGTCTAACAGTTAGACCCTGTTGCAAAAGGGCCTCTCACCCTGTATGCAAGCCATCACAGCCACTGCAAATTTCTTAAAGGCAACTGAAGAGTTAATTATGAGCTATCCATTAGTTGTTTATGTCCCTCATCCTATTAAGGTCTTACTCTACTCTCTTCATACTGAGCATCTCTCTGCTAGCAGACTCACTTCTAACAAGACCTTCTAAGGTACTATTGCTTTCCACAACTCTATAAATCCAGACCTTATGTCTTCCTTCTGACAAGATGTCACATACCTTACTAGGCCCTAGATAGGATCTATAGAAAACCCCCACTCCAAATGCTGAGCTTGTCTGTTTCACTGATGGATCCTACCTTCAAAATAACTCAAGGAAATATCAAGCTCTCTATGCTGTTGTCTCGCTGTCTGAAACCAACGAAAGTGGTTCCCTACCCAAGGCCACTTCTGCCCAACAGGCAGAACTTGCTACTCTCTCTGAACACCTATACTGTCAATTAATAGGACTGCACTTAGCTACACTTACAGCTGCTGAGCCTTTGGGGTGGCACATTATTTTGGTTCACTCTGGAAACAAAGTGGTTTTCTAACTGCTACTGGCCAAAAGATAAAAAACAGCTACTATGTCCTAAATTACTAAAAACTATCCAAAACTCTTAAGTCTTTTGCAATAATGAAAATCCCAGGACACTCAAAAACTGATACTAAAGAAGGTAAATTACTTGGCTGATGTAACTGCAAAAGCCACAGGTTCTGTGAACCAGCTGCCCTTAGCTCAATATCCCCTTAAGCCCTCTAATGATCAATTTGATAAAATGAAAAATTGCATCCTCAATGTGCAACAGATAGCCTCCCAAATTAAAAGAAAAAAAGGAAAACTCCAGGAAGTTTTCATGACCATAAAACCAACCTATGGTATGGGCCCAATAAGAGACCACTCTTGACAGATGGCCTTCAAGATCGATTTTTAAATACTATTCATCACTCAACCCATTGGGGAACTGATTGAATGATTCTTTGGGGAAAAATATTACTAGAAACCGTCCCAAAGGTCACACTTCACATTTTATCACACATGGCAAGTCTATCCCAAACACAGCCCTAGAAAAACTATTCATAGTTCTATGGGAAATTTATCCTTTGCCTTTATGAACTTCTGAGATAAGGCAGATGGGCTTTATCCAGCTACCACCATCTCAAGGAAACAAATTTGTCTTGGTTATGATTTGTATGATTTCCCACTGTGTGGAAGCCTTTCCCTGTCACAAGCAACAGCCTTACCAGTAAGTAAAATCTTGTTAAAGAAAAATAATCCCCACGTGGAACTTATCCTTGGAACTGAACAGTGACTGAGGCACTCATTTTATTGGACAGATTATAGAATCAATATGTTAGATTTGGCCTATTATAGATTTCCACTGTGCCTACCATCCATTGTCCTCTGGGTTGGTGAAATATTTATTTTGCAAAATCTTTAACAAATTAACTTAATCCAATTTTAACCTACCTAATGTACATGAGTTACACTCAACCGAATAATTCGCTAATATGCGAAGTTTTTAAGCTTTCAAACTTCCAGGATGCTAAAGGACCACTTCGTATAAACTATAAATAATAATCTTTTATTTTCATTAGATGTTCAAGTAGGTTCATACTCTAAACCACTTATCTGTTTCAACATTCAGGAGACATTTTAATTTTTTCAGATCAAATTAATTAATGAGGAAAAATGCTTTTTTGAATTTTAGATGCATACTTCAGTGCATTTTGTTTTGGATCTTGATCTCTTTAGGTTAGTACAAGAAGTAATTACTTGGTGCAATTACTTTTGCACTAACCTAATACTTTACAAAGCTTACATTGCTTAAATCAAATACTTCTACCACATAATTTTCAAATCATAATTAAATACATGTCATTATATTTTTGTCTCAGGAACACTCTTTAAATTTGGTTGTTCTTATATATCTCTTTAAAAATAACTATTCCTTTTCTCACAAATTTCAAAAAAGTTTTAAATTAAATTCTCACTCAGTATCATTTTCCCCCATACTCCCATAACAAACAAGTAACTACTCTAGGGAGATTTACTGTAAGAAGTCAATTATTTTAGCACTAAAGATATGCAACAAATAGGATGTGAAAAAGCTTACACAATCTCTTTAGAAGAAATAAAGGTGAAACGGGGAATTAGAAAGGTTATAGCCATAGACGATGTCCCTTAAATCAGGGGTCCAACCACTGGCTGCAGACTGGTACCAGTCCTTGGCCTGTTAGGAACTGGGCCACACAGCAGGAGGTGAGCAGCAGGCCAGTGAGCATTACTGCCTGAGCTCCGCCTCCCGTCAGATCAGTGGCAGCATTAGATTCTCACAGGAACACGGACCCTATTGTAAACTGCATATGCGAGGGACATAGGTTGTGTGCTCCTTATGAGACTCTAATGCCTGATGATCTGAGGTGGAACAGTTTCATCCTAAAACCATTCTCCCCACCCCTGGTCTGAAGGACAACTCTCTTCCGTGAAACTGATCCCTGGTGCCAAAAAGGTCAGGGACGGCTTCCTTAAATGTTTATCAATATTTTACACTAATTTATTAGACTGTACATCCTTGAAAGGTAAAATAAGCTCTCAAAAATGGTATCACCCAATTTCCCAAAAAGAACTTGCTTTGAATGTACAGTTCATGACGGTTTTTGGTATTATATTTAATTATATTGTACTATAATAAAGCTAACGCCAAAAAGTCAGTGATTTTACAACACGACTTACCAAGCATGAACATGCTTCCAACAATATTAAATGTCCTCTTTTCAGATCGATAAAAATGTTAACAATGTTTTGTTTACTTCTTTCCGAATACATATTCCATCTGATATAAGCAATACAAGTTGGTAACGTATTGCACTTGATAGTTATTTATAGAAGGATATCTGAATAAAGTGAAGCAAAGCATTATCTTTAAAGTAGGCTGGCCTTAAAAATCATGTTTTCTCACTAATCTTACTATAAATTTAAAAAGAAAAACTGACAACGGAATACAGGAAAATGCATGCGCTTTACATACAGGTGATCCCCAACTTTCCTAAATGACCCTCAAATTCATAATCTTAATCTGAGTAGAGAATTTGGTGATACAGAAATGGGGCAGTACAAATAACTTATCTGAAAGTCTTCTGATACTCCCAACTGAAGAGGGAGAGTTACTCCAGAGAAAGAAAGCAGACAGCCCAAGTGGCAGTCTGGTTCAATTTTCTCACACGCATTTTTTCCTATTTATTTCATCATCCTCTTTATCAGACCTGCTTATCAGATTTTCTATACCCTTCAAGCAATTGCCTAACTGGTTTTTGTCCAGCACAGAGGATACAAGAAGCTGAGGACCAGAGAGATGGCTCACCTAGATGTCCTTAGCATCTCTGGGGATATGGACACCAAGAAGCTGCCTGCCCCTGAAGTAACTCACATCCACTATGACTTCCTGTAGTCATTTGGATAGTGACAAGACAGTAATAATTTGGACAGTTACCTGTATGAAACATAATTGGAATTTCAAAATATTTTAGCTCTCTAGGAACAGAGCTGTCCTTATTAACATACAAGCCTGATACACTTTGTATATTTGTCCCCTCTAAATCTCATGTTGAAATGTGATCCCTAATTTTGGAAGTGTGGTCTAGTGGGAGGGGTTTGGATCATGAGTGTCAGTCCCTCATGAATGGATTGGTGTCCTCCCTCCAGTAATGAGTGAATCCTCACTCTATGAGTTCATGCCAGATCAAAAAGAGCCTGGCGCCTCCTCCCCTCCATCTTGCTCCCCTCTCCCCATGTGACATGCCTGCTCCCCCTTCTCCTTTCTCTGTAATTCATGATTTTAAGCTTCCTGAAGGCCTCACCAGAAGCTGAGCAGATACCAGCACCATGCTTGTGCAGCTTGTACAACTGTGAGCCAAATAAACCCCTTTGCTTTCTGAATTACTCAGTCTCAAGTATTCCTTTATAGCAACACAAAACATACCAACACAAAGCCTAACATCAACCGGTTGTTTTGAATTGTTATTACATCTAAGAAATGCATTACATAGAAAAATGGCCCCTGCCTAAACATTGTCTTATTTTCTCCATTTAACAACTCTGTGAGGTAGCCGTTAATAACACCATTTCTACAGATGAAAGCCATTGACACTACAGACCAAATACTATAAATGGTAAATGGGGATGTGAACAAAGATGAGTCTGCCTCCAAAGTCGATCCTCTCTCCCAACCTCTGCAATGCCTCAATAAAATGTCTTTAGTTTCAAGATAATTTTTTAAATAACTGAAATAGCAGATGTCCCTAATTAAAAGAAAAAAATGATCTAAGAAAGTATACTTTGAGAATATACAAATTCTGGTTTAGAAAAGCTTAACAGGAAAAGAAAACACACACACACACACACACACACACACACACACACACACACACACATATACACACACTGCAGTTTGTCCTGTGGGTTGGGAATAGTTATGCCTAAGAATTTTCTCTGGCCAAGCCTAAATAAAAACTATAATTGCCAACCTTTTTCTACTTTTCTGTTGTTCTAAAAGTGCATGGTTTGGTAGATGGTTCTTTTGTTTGGGAAATATAATCAACAATTTTGAATATGCCAAGGTAGGCTGGAGTGTAGTTGTTACAGACCGAAAGTTAAATTTCACTACATAATCAAGTAACAAAAATTTGTAACTCTGAGGAGACAGGTAGAAGTGGAGATGAAAAATGGATTGTTAACTGAGAATGAACCTCTTGAATGCTATGAATGTGACTAGAAGCTGGACCAAAAGAATAAGACAACCAATAAGACAGTCTCTATAAAGGAGCAGTCAAAAAATTTTAAGATTCCTAAGCAATTTTAAGTTGTTTTCTTCCCATGCTGTGCTAAGCCTTCTCCTTATTTATCCCTAAGACTACAATGAAGGTCTACAATCTATAAATGCTTTGTGCCAGTAGAAAAGAAAGGAACTGCCGCATGCGTGAAATAACGCTACAAAATTAAGGGTGGCAGGGAGATAAGGGGTGGTGATCAGAATCTAATCAAGGTATCATCATGTATTCAGAACAACAGATAATCAGAGAAAAACTACCCACACCCCAGCCTCAAAAATACTGAGAATGGTGCTGAACTTCCCATAACAAATGAGATGGGATGTATTTGGTTATTAAGAGAATGCGATTCCAGACATCCAGAGAACTTGGTGACTGTAAGTTTACTAAAAGGAGGAGGAGAAGGAGAAAGGAAAGGAAACAAAAGAAAAAAAAGAAAATTAGAAAGAGAAGAGAGAGGGTTGATAAGAAAGACAGATGCTGGGTGGGTTTTTTTCCCCTGGGTGATCAAGCCAAGACACAGAAATATGTTTTCAGTATGACACCTTTACAACGAAGCTTTTAGCTGAGTAATATTATCACTCTGAGCAAAAATCATGGTCTATTAGAACTGGAAGAGTCTTTTGAGTTCATCTAGGTAAATCCCCTCCATTGTATAAACGAAGAAAAGTGATGTCCAAACAAACACAGATAACTGTTTCTACTGATGTGCATTTCCTTGGTTGATATTTCCCCCACATATTAGCTGCCTTGTCAATATTCTTCCCTCCTCAGCAGCTATTCCCACACTTCTCATTCACACTGACAACACACACACACACAAACACACACTAGTATTTCCTTACAGTCCCAGTGCAGTGATCGATGCAATAAACTGCTTAATTGTGCAAATATTAGGTAAGGAGAAAATTGTGATGAACATGGTCCAATCCCACCACTAAGGGATCTTTAGCCTAGTGAGAAATCAGAAAATGAAAATCATTACAATGAGGGATATTTATAAATATATTGTAAGGAGCAAAGAAGACAGGGACCTGTAGTGTTGTGCCTATCTCACAAGGATTCATAGTGTGTGTGTGTGTGTGTGTGTGTGTGTGTGTGTGTGCATCTGTGTGTGTGTGTATATCTGGTTCCTAATTCAGTTCCTGCACAAAGTATGCATTCAGCTAAACATTGTTCATGTGTACTGAATTGGGAAGGACAGAATCTTTTGTTTTATAACCTCCTCCACCCAAACATGGAAACATTCATTCATTCAATGGCTAACATATGCTAAGTACTATAGCAGGCATTGAGAATATAATCCTGGACAAAATGTACCCAGCTCCAGCTTACAAGTTTTAATATACTATAAATATTAGAAAGTAGCATACAATTAACATATGGTGTGATAAGTGTTACAATGACATCAAGAGCAAGGGCAGAGTGCCCTCTAGTATGACAAAATGGCACAGACCTCAAAAGACTCATGGTTTTCAGGAAGATAGGAAGTATCTTTGGGCATTTATGACTCTGACTGTAAGTTTACCTACAGAGAGGTGAGAGAATGAACTGCAATAGAAGTGAGCCAATTAATACAAGAAGGTAGAGGCAATATTTACAGAAGATTATGGTGAACACAGCTTAAATCTTCATGAGATGCTGTTGGGTTGGGGGTCGGGGGGTGTTCCACATGAGCCAGTGAAGAGATCGAGGAAGCAGAGGAGTGCTGGGAAGTTGGGTCAAAAAAGAAGAAAAACAAAGAATGGATGAGACAGTGAAAAAGGATACATCGTAGTTACTCTGACAGTAAGAAAAGTGCCAAGCAATTCCATTCACCCTGACCACTACTGCCCTGATACAAGTTATCACCTTCTCTTCCTAAATTACTTAATAACTTCCAAATTGACCCTTTACTCCAGATTTTTATGCTTGCCCACGTTATATAGTCTCTACACAAAAGCCAGATTATATTTTTTAAATAAATCAGATTGCTTTATTTCCATGCAAAATCTTCCAGAGTCTTCTCAGCATATACTCCAAACTGCTTTTCATGATCTGCAAAGCTGTGCTGCGGAATCAGTCCCCTTGCTAGCCTCTCCAGTTGATCCACTCTGCCCCACTAGATCCCCTTACAGCCACCCAGGCCTTCTTGCTGCTCCTTCACCAGGCTGACCTGGTCCTCACTCAGGGCCTTTCCGCTTCCTATCCCCTCTGCCTAGACGCACCTGCCTCCGGTCCTGGCATGGCTGCTTCTTTCTCATCGTTCACATCTCCAGCCTTTGAGCCTTAAGAGAAATAGCTTAAGAGAACTAGCTCAAAAACAATAAAGAGAAAATAGCCCCACTATTCAATTGTATTCAATGAATAGATATAGAAAACTAGGACTGGATGTGGTTACTAATTACTTCAAAACAATTCTAATTACTAAAACTAAAGGAAATGTTGTAGAAGGCGATTAATTTGTAAAGAAAGAAGCAGTTTCAAAGAAAACTCTAAGCCATTTTCATCAAGCCATCTTTTAAAATGAAATATGAAAGCAAATATTCTTTTTCTAAATTCTATTCAGTATCATTAGAGTGACCAACATTTGCTACTAGTTGCTCATAAAAATAACCTATAAAATTCCCAAAACTGGATGATGATGCAACAGGTAAACTCACACACCAAGAGACAAAAGATCATATCAGTGAGAAAATATCTATTCATCATTTACTAATACATGTAACGAACTGGGGACAAAGAGATGGAAAAAAAAAATCCATTCTTGCACTTATGCA
This sequence comes from Homo sapiens, assembly GCF_000001405.40. NCBI lineage: Eukaryota > Metazoa > Chordata > Mammalia > Primates > Hominidae > Homo > Homo sapiens. Next base: position 156,923,847 of record NC_000004.12, read on the forward strand.
GCTCATAGTGCTGAAAAAGAAGACAGAAAAGCAGTAAACAGGGATATTGGGGTTTGGGGGAACAGAGCCACCAGTGGGAAGACAGCTGTGTGTGGTGGGGAAGGAAATAGTAAAAAAGACTGCCACTGGGAATTGCTGATGTCTATTCCTGAGAAGAAATGGCCCCTCTTCTAACAAGCTACATCAGTTAAAATATTATTCTTTATTCATTTAAAGCCCTGCTTAATATGCCACACCAGCCAAGCAGCCTAGCCTAAAATCCACAGAGAAGCCACTCAATATGTTGGCCAAACGAATAGCTAACAATTTTTGCTCTCTGCAAAGCGCTCCATATAAAAGTTAAAATTTCAATAGCACACAGTCAAGTGTTTATTCGTGGGCAGCCGAATAGTTTCAACCTACAATTTGTATTCTTGAAATCAGGTCCTTTTATTCTGTGTAAAATCATTTACCCACTTATTCATCAATCATTTCTTGAACACCTGTAATATAGAAGGCACTCTTTTAGTTATTGGACATACTAAAGTAAGAAAAATACCCTGCTTTCCTAGTTCTCAAAATTCAGTGGGGAAAAAAATGTTTTTAAATAAATTGTACCTAAAGTAACAAGGAAAATGGTGGTGGTAAGAGCCATGCAGAGAATTAAAATGGTGTGATGTGAAAAAGACAAGGTAGCTCCTTTAGGGGTCACAGAAGGTGTCTTAATTTTTATTCCCCCAGAAGTAGATCTTGCAACAAGATTAAAATGCAAAAAGTTTATTAGGGAGGGGGAAGAAATGTCGGTCAGGAAAAATTGGGCAATGAAATGAAGTAACCAGTGAAGGGTCCCTTATCATGAACAACCACCATTGTGAGCAACTTCAGTAAATCCCACTGGGAAGATTCTGGGACACATTTCTGAGCTATGCACCTAAGGGGTGGGGAAGCTTTGGGATAGTTATACACCAAATACTATTGGTCACTAGTTCAGAACTAAAAGGGGAGAAGGATTCCCCAGTTAAGTCTGGGCAATCTTTTTGCTGCCCTCTTTTTGCTGGGCAGCAAAAAAGAGGCTCAAGCCAGGAAGAGACAGGATGCAGGCAAAGAAATACAGGTGCTGGCAGCTGTCCTCACACAGTGAAAGAGTCAGGGCAGCACATAGGGCTGGGCCTTGCAGGAGGCTTCAGGAAGGAGGAGAACTTTATGCTGGAATCTAAATTGAAAGAATAATCAGAGATAAAAGATTCCAGACTGAGGAAATCATGAGAACAGGATGGACTGAAAAACTTGCCAGACAAGCTGGAGCTCCATGTGTTTTCAGGAAGGAAATGTCAGTTGGCCAAAACTGTATGGGCAAAGGCAAAAACTAGTATATAATCTTGTCAGTAAAGCAGGTAAAGGCCAGATCACCAAAGGCTTCAGAAACCAGGGTAAGAAAGGCTGGACAGGCTCTTATGTGCATTTTTTTAAAGACTCTCTGGTCAAAGTGAATAATGGCAATCATGAGTGGAAGCAAACAATTCAGGATGCTCAAGATGCTACTGTGGTGTAGTAGTGGTGGTGGTAGTCAATATGAAGGAAGTTCACTGGCTTGTTGATGAACTGGGATGCAATCAGGGCAGATACAGAACCACTGAGACTTTCTTCATTAGCAACTCTGCACATGGTACTGGCGGGTACCTTTAAGAAGGCAGAAGAATAGGGGAAAAGCACATTTGAGGAAAGAAAATGAAGAGTTTGTTTTGGTCATGTTGAAATTAAGATGCCTATGAGATCTCTGCAGATAGATAATTATACAGGTTTGGAATTAGAGAGAAACATCAGAACTCTAGATATAGATACATGGAGATCATCTACATACATACAGTATTTGAAGGCAAGAGATTGGCTGTAGTGTCCTAGAGGCAGTATTATTCTAAAAAAAAAAAAAAGAGAGAGACGGGGGATGGGCATGAGGGCTCATGCCTGTAACTCCAACGCTTTGGGAGGTCGAGGCGGGTAGACTGCCTGAGCCCAGTAGTTTGAGACCAGCCTGGGCAACAGGGTGAAACCCCGTCTCTACAAAAAAATATAAAAATTAGCCAGATGTGGTAGCACATGCCTGTAATCCCAGCTACTCAGTAGGTTGAGGTGAGAGGATCACCTGAGCCTGGGAAGGTCAAGGCAGCAGAGAGCCATGATCACACCACTGCACTCCAGCCTGGGTGAAAGTAAGATCTGTCTCAAAAAAAAAAAAAAAAAAAAAAAAGACAGAAAGACAGGGATCCACTACACTACACTATTGACTAATGTCAATAATCTTTTCTTGTCTGACAGTAATCACTACTACAGCTAATTCATTCTTTTGTTCATTCAATGAATGCTTATTTAATATCAAATCAATTTACTGCATTACACTGGAAACTGTGGGATAAATGAATTATCATTCCTAAGTGCTTAGGATCTTAATGACCCTTAAAGGTTAAAGACTGACCATGATAGAACCAAGAAAACTCAGGAAAAAAGAGATTATTTTCATGTGACAAAACCATAAAAATGATACAGGAGGGGAGGAGGGAAGTACTGGGTAGATAAAGGCAGGGTCCCTGGCAAGGGCTCCACTCTCTAGCCTCTTCCCTCGGACTTCTTCCCTCAGACTTATGTGAGGACAGGCACTCCTATTTTCATGCCCAAATGTTGCATTCCAGCAACATTTGGAACAAAATCCCAAATGGGGGTAATTGGCCAAAACAAAGGGGCGACCAGCCCCATGCATGTCCAAAATTCACTGGGCAGTCAAATTTTAAAGCTCCAAAATGATCTCCTTTGACTCCATGTCTCACATCCAGGTCACACTGATTCAAGAGGTAGGTTTCCCTGGTCTTGCGCAGCTCCGCCTCTGTGTTTTACAGGGTACAGCCTCCCTCCTGGCTGACTTTGTGGGCTGGCGTTGAGTGTCTGTGGTTTTCCAGGCACCCGGTACAAGCTGTCAGAGGATCTAGCATTCCAGGGTCTGGAGGACAGTGGCCCTCTTCTCACAGCTCCACTAGGTGGTGTCCCAGTAGGGACTCTGTGTGGGGGCTCTGACCCCACATTTCTCTTCCACACTGCCCTAGCAGAGGTTCTCCATGACAGCCCCACCCCTGCAGCAAACTTCTGCCTGGATATCCAGGTGTTTCCATACATCTTCTGAAATCTAGGTGGAGGTTCCCAAACCTCAATTTTTGGCTTCTGCACACATGCAGGCACAAAACCATGTGGAAGCTGCAAGGTTTAGGGACTGCACCTTCTGAAACCATGGGACAAGCTGAACCTTGGCCCCTTTTAGCAGTGGCCCGAGTGGCTGGAGAGCAGGGCACCAAGTCCCTAGGCTGCACACAGCAGAGAGACGCTGGGCCTGGCCCAGGAAACCATTTTTTCCTCCTAGGTTTCCAGGTCTGTGATGGGAGGGGCTGCCATGAAGACCTATGACATGCCCTGGAGACATTTTTCCCATTGTCTTAAGGTTAACATCGGGCTGCTTGTTACTTATGCAAATTTCTGTAGTCAGCTTGAATTCCTCCTCAAAAATGGGTTTTTCTTTTCTATTGCATTGTCTGGCTGCAAATTTTCACAACTTTAATGCTCTGTTTTCCTTTTAAAATTGAATGCTTTTAACAGCAGCCAGGTCACCTCTTGAATGCTTTGCTGCTTAGAAATTTCTTCCACAAGATACCCTGAATCATCTCTCTCAAGTTCAAAGTTGCACGAATCTCTAAGGCAGGGGCAAAATGCTTCAGTCTCTGCCAAAACATAACAAGAGTCACCTTTGCTCCAGTTCCCAACAAGTTCCTCATCTCCATCTGAGACCACCTCAGCCTGGATTTCATTGTCCATATCACTATCAGCATTTTGGCCAAACCATTCAATGAGTCTCTAGGGAGTCCCAAACTTTGCCATATTTTCCTACCTTCTTCTGAGCCCTCCAAACTGTTCCAATCTCTGCCTGTTACCCAGTTCCAAAGTCGCTTCCACATTTTTGGGTATCTTTTCAGCAGTGCCCCACTCTACTGGTACCAATTTACTATATTAGTCCATTTTCATGCTGCTGATAAAGACATACTCAAGACTGGGAAGAAAAAGAGGTTTAATCAGACTTACAGTTCCACATGGCTGAGGAGGCCTCAGAATCATGGTGGGAAGTGAAAGGCAATCCTTACATGGTGGTGGCAAGAGAAAAATTAGGAAGATACAAAAGCGGAAACCCCGATAAAACCATCAGATTTCATGAGACTTATTCACTACCATGAGAACAGTATGGGGGAAACCGCCCCCATGATTTAAATTATTTCCCACCAGGTCCCTCCCACAACACGTAGGAATTATGGGAGCACAATTCAAGATGAGATTTGGGTGGGGACACAGAGCTAAACCATGTCAGTAGGTCATTTAATAGCACCCATTTATCTATCCGTCTATGTGATTTTTTTAAGAGATGGGTCTTGCTATGTTGCCCAGGATGGTCTTGAACTCCTGGGCTCAAGAGATCCTCCCACCCCAGCCTTGCAAGTAGCTGGAACTGCAGCTCTACCTGATTTTAACTTTAAAGATTGAAAATTCACGCATTGCACTTAGATCTGTAACCGTGGGATTACTAGCTACTGCATCAGGATAAAAGAAATGAAAAAGACCTGGCTGGGTAAGGCACAGGTGAAACACAGGCTCAGAACAGCTGGCTGAACAGTAAAATACCCGGGTACTTGCTGCTAGGAAGAATGGCTGAGGCCTGAATGGCAAATGGAGGAGACTGGAAGATGCATAGATTGCAAAGAGATATTGCACCCCAATCCACGCTCTATACTTGTCTCCAGAAATCCCTGAATTTAAATCCATTGCTTCAGTTTCTTTTTACCATTTTTAAGAGACTATGAGAAATATCCTTTTATGGTGTTAAAGACTGTTTAGTATACAACTCCTGAAGAACAGAATTTAGCCATAATAGACTTTTGGAAAACATTGCTTACAAGAGATTCCACTTTTTCTCATATTGGTTATCCTAAGAATAAAGTTTATAGTTACTGAAGGACTGTTTATCTCTATGATGTTGGTTCTTAAGAGAACTGTCTGTTAACAATACACGATTGTACTTACATGGGAGCTAAGCAAAATAATAAAACACAACGGTCAAAGAAATGATAAAGAGTATGCATGAACTCTTCCAAATAGAAGGAATACTTAGAAACAATCTCTATACATGAATCTATAAGGGGCAATGTAGGAGGGTCAGCTGCGAGCAATAGTCAAAGAAGCAGTAACACCCTTGCTATTTAAATACTCTGAAATAGACTGAGACCTCAATTTGGAAATAGTTTTAAAAGAAAAATTGTGCAAAATGGCAACCAGCAAAAAGATACAATATACAAATCAGTCAACTTTTTGGGAAATGACTCAACAATAATAAAAGTCTTAATCAAATACTCAAGTATCTACATATTTGTAAAGAAATTTTATCAGTATCTGTTCAAACCTTAGAAATTACAGAACAAAAATGCATTCTATATCCCAACCTATCTATGTGAGATATTAGTTGGGAAGAAAAGAGAAAGGAAATAAAAGGGAGAAAAGTGGCATATCTTATAATGACCATTTTCATAGTTCATAAAATCAGCATTCGTAGCAAAAAAAAAAAAAGGCCAATAAAAAAAACAGAACTACTCTCCGTTTAAAAAAACAAAACTCATTTTGCTCCATGGAATCTGCACATGAAATCTCTCTTCTTACAGCCTTCCGGAATATACCAAAACACAAAAGAGTTATCCAAAGAGACAAAATCTTTCCTCTTCCCCTCTTCTTCCTTCAGTGAATGATTTACTGTTCAGTAAGGGTTAACTCAGGTCAGCTAATAAGAAAAGAGGGAGCTAGCACTCAATCTTTATGCAGAGTAGAATGGAAAATATTCTCTGGCTATTTATCCTTTAGTGACTTATGGATATTAGAAATAGTTGATAACATTCTTAAATATTTGATTTCACAAGTTACCTCTCCTACTTTCAAATGGTCCTTTCAAGATGCCTGTGTTGACAGGCCAGAACTTGTAGTGTCCTGAGAAGTGTGCAGCCCTGCTCAAAGGCCCACACAAGTAGAAATGTTAAAAAAAAAAATCTTTGGGTCACACATGGTGATATGCCAGATGTTACAACACCAAATGGGTTGCCATTCAATTCTGGATTTAAGCTAAATGAACTGGTTGACTAACTGGATTGATTTGTCATTAGACTTACATGTTTCTAACTTCTTAAAAGCATACTTTAATTTTCATCTCCCTTATATGCCATTGTGTGAATACTGGGTAACTCGCCTACATTGTAAGCAGATTTTAAGAAATCTGCATTTAAGAGATTTTTGTTCAAAAGTAGATTTAATTCACAAAATCCTATATAGTTTGTCGTTATTGCTATATGATTTTTCCAGGCAGACCTGTGTAAAAATAATTTCAGGCAGTGGGAAGAGCATGTGCAAAATCAGGCAAACATCATCAAATCTGAGGAACTGAAAGGATATCCAAAGACTGCAATAAGATTTTTGAGCTTAATCAATCTGTAGGATCTGTAGGCTAGCAAATCCTAATATCACATTTTTTGGCGGGGACCAATGTGGAGAATGAATTGTTTACACTACCTTAAAAGACATTTTATTAAATAAGGCATCTCCACAACAACTATGTAATTGAAAACAGAAATGAAATCCCATTATAAAGTTAAGACTCCTTATACTCAAGACAATTATTAAGAATCTAGGTTTAGGCCGGGCGCAGCGTCTCACGCCTGTAATCCCGGCACTTTGGGAGGCCGAGGTGGGCAGATAACCTGAAGTCAGGAGTTCAAGACCAGCCTGGCCAATATGGTGAAACCCTGTCTCTACTAAAAAAACAAAAATTAGCTGGGAGTGGTGGTGCACGCCTGTAATCCCAGCTACTCGGGAGGCTGAGGCAGGAGGGTCGCTTGAACCAGGAAGGCCGGAGGTTGCAGTGAGCCAAGATCATGCCATTGCACTCCAGCCTGGGTGAGTGAAACTCTGTCTCAAAAAAATAAATAAAAATAAAAATAAAAGAATTTAGGTTTAAAATGTATAAATCTAGGTTTATACATAAAATTCAGCCTCACCTGCTTTCCCTTATCATCTTATTATTGGTTTTAATTTCCCTGCCCAGTAATCCCATAACTGTATTTTAACTTCTTTTTCCTGCTACCTATTGTTGGAGGTAGGGGCTGAGGGGATGGAGGGTAGCCAGCCAAGTGTGGAATGCAGTAAAATCATTCTGAATAGACAAAACTGACAAAAAATTGTGAAAGCAAAAGGCGTGACAGCCTCAGAATCCTGACCTTCCAGAACTTGAAACTGATAAACATGAATTCTTTTGTATTAGGGGTAAAATGGCAGGTATTTCCTGTTATTAAAACTTTTTTGGCTTACCTTCCGAAGGCTAATGTAGAGTTTCTGAAAAGATAACAGTGACAATAAAAAGATTGTTAAGAGTGCCTCCAAGCTACAGGACAAAGAGTATTATATTTCTACTGGGAAGGAAACTTAAATTATAGTCAAAGATCCATGAAGGCTTAAGTCACCCAGGATTGCATTCACGTCTTCGGTTATTGCATGTGCTTTGGAACACTTGACAATCACAGAGCTGGCCTGTGGGGGAGGTGAGTCAACAGTGATTCTCTTTCATAACTATCCAAGAAAAACAACCCACAGTAATCTTCAAGAGCATCACACCTTAACTGTTTATTAGAGCTGGGACAACTAAGGCCAAGACAATAGACAAATGCAAGGCTGTTAATATTAGAAACTAAGTTTACTGGCCCCTACTCCCTAGAATGTTCAAGCTTCATGAAACTTTGGACCACCCAGACATTTGCTATGTTAACTATCCTCTTAAACTGAAGTGGAGATATTTATTCAGAATTATGGTTTATACTTACAGTGGAACATATCTTTGCATGGATTTTAAACACTACATTTATAGGAGTTTTTTTTTTGTTAAACTACATGTGTTGAACAGAAAACTTAGGTAGTGGAATGTACTTTTATCTTTTTTATTTTAAAGACTTCTTTCTTTTGAAAATTGTTCTATACATTACTCATAAGAAATATATTACAGCAACATTTAAAGAGCATCTGCAATACTAACCCTGACATTTATAGTATATGATTTGAGGTAAAAATAGCTCAAAGTTTTAGAAAATATATAAACAAAAGAGGTAAGAGATGGATATTTACTTACTAATGTAATGCTAATTTAATCTATTATTAAGAACATTTAATGTGCTCTGTTTTGATCAGGAGTCTAATTCACCTTCACATTTCCTACAATTTACACTTTTAAGGGATTTTTTTTTAATTTTCTAAGTGAATACACTTGAGTTTACCTTTCAGCAATCAAAGCAAGCATAATATTCACTTTATGTAGTTAAAGGAAGTATAAACTCAGGAACAACACACTCTGTTTGTGTTCAAAGAGTGAAGTAAGGCCATTTTCACGATATTGATTCTTCCTACCCGTGAGCATGGAGAACTAGAAATACCATTTGACCCAGCCATCCCATTACTGGGTATATACCCAAAGGATTATAAATCATGCTGCTATAAAGACACATGCACACATGTGTTTATTGTGGCACTATTCACAATAGCAAAGACTTGGAACCAACCCAAATGTACAACAATGATAGACTGGATTAAGAAAATGTGGCACATATATACCATGGAATACTATGCAGCCATAAAAAATGATGAGTTCATGTCCTTTGTAGGGACATGGATGAAGCTGGAAACCATCATTCTCAGCAAACTATCTCAAGGACAAAAAACCAAACACAGCATGTTCTCACTCACAGGTGGGAATTGAACAATGAGAACACACGGACACAGGAAGGGGAACATCACACACCGGGGCCTGTTGTGGGGTGGGGGGAGGGGGGAGGGATAGCATTAGGAGATATATCTAATGATAAATGACGAGTTAATGGGTGCAGCACACCAACATGGCACATGTATACATATGTAACTAACCTGCACGTTGTGCACATGTACCCTAAAACTTAAGGTATAATTAAAAAAAAAAAGAAGTTTCTAACACACACACACAAACACACACACACAAAGAGTGAAGTAAACAAAAGTATGGGATGAAAGTTAATCATCATCACATGGTAGAGGCAGGCTTGTCTGTTGAGAACCTAGTCTCTGCCGCTCCCTACCTGCCAGACCTTGGGCAAATCCCATGCCTTCTCTGAATCGGGGTTGCCTCACCTGTACAAGAAAGTCAGCTAATTCATAGGGTTCTTTAAAGACCTAAATGAAGGAAATCTAATGAAATGCAGTCCCACAGTAGATATCACTAGCTATTAGCTGTATGTTCTTGTCATAAAGTGAAATGAAATGCTGCTTATATATTTAATAAGATATCCAAACTTAACTACAGTAGATCCTTACTATTTGTAGATTCCATATTGGTGAATTCACCTACTGGCTACAATTAATTTGCAACCCCAAAATCAATACACGGCATCTTTTGTGGTCGTTGGCAGACATGCACAGACACAGAGCAACACAAAACTTTAAGTCACCCAAGATGATGCTGTTCACAGCTGAGGTGGAGCAAAGATATGCTCTGCCTTCTTGTTCCAACTCCCAAACTGTAAACAAGCATCCTTTCTGCAGCATATTTAGTGCTAGGTTGTTCTCAATTTTTTGCTATTATTTGGTAATTTTGCTGTTTAAAATTTCCCAAAGCATAGTGCTGAAGTGCTGTCTAGTGTTCCTTGACACAAGGCTATGATGTGCCTTGATATGGTTTGGCTCTGTGTCCCCACCCAAATCTTATCTCAAATTGTAATCCCCACATATCAAGGGAGGGACCTAGTGGGAGGTGACTGGATCATAAGAGCATTTTCCCTCATGTTGTTCTTGTGATAGAGAATGAGTTCTCCCAAGACCTGATGGTTTAAAAGTGTAGCACTTTCCCCGCCTCTCTCTCTCCTACCACCATGTAAGACGTGCCTTGCTTCCTCTTCACCTTTCACCTTTTGTTTTCTGCCACAATTGTAAGTTTCCCAAGGCCTCCCCAGCCATGTGGAACTGTGAGTCAATTAAATCTCCCTCCTTTATAAATTACCCAGTCTCAGGTAGTTCTTTATATTAACAGCAGTGTGAAAATGAACTAACACATGACTTTACAGAGAAAATATGTGTGTTAGATAAGCTTCCTTCAGGCATGAATTATAGTGCCTTGTGCTTAATGTTAATGAATCACCAATATACAGTCATGAGTCACTTAACAACTGGGATATATTCTGAGAAATGTGTCTTTAGGCGATTTTGTCATTGTGCTAACATCATAGAGCATGCTTAAACAAACCTAAATGGTATGGCCTATTGCACACGTAGGCTACGTAGTACAGCCTACTGCTCCCAGACTACAAACCTGTCAAGCATGTTATTGTACTGAAAACTGTAGACAATTGTAATACAACGGTAAGTATTATATATCTAAACATAGAAAAGGTACAGCAAAAATACAATATAAAAGATTTAAAATGGTACACCTGTATAGAGTTCCTACCATGAACAGAGTTTACAGGACCGGTAGTTGCTCTCAGTGAGTCAGTGAGTGAGTGGTGAGTGATTTTCAGGCCTAGCACATTACTGTACACTTTTGTAGAATTTATAAAGGCTAAATGCTTATGCTACACTAAATATATTTGTTAAATATTTTACTTTCTTACATAATATACTAGCCTTAGCTTACTGTAACTTTTTACTTTATAAACTTTTTAAATTTTTTAACTTGACTCTTTTGCAATAACATTTAGTTTAAAATACACATTGCACAACTACACAAAAGTATTTTCTTTCTTTATATCCATATTCTATGTGCTTGTTTCTAATTTTAAATTTTTTTTATTTTGTTTTACCTTTAAACTTTGTTAATGAAAAACAGAAGAGACAAACACACCCATTAGCCAAGGCCTTCACAGGATCAGGACCATCAATATCACTGTCTTCCACCTCTATATTTTATCCCACTGGAAGGTTTTCAGGGGCAATAATAGGCATGGACATGTCATCTCCTATGATAATAATGCCTTCTTCTGGAATCTGTCCTAAAAACATACCTGAGGCTTTCTTACAGTTAACGTTTTTTTGTTTTGTTTTGTTTGTTTGTTTTTCAGATGGAGTCTCGCTCTGTCCCCAGGATGGAGTGCAGTGGCATGATCTCGGCTCACTGCAACCTCTGCTTCCTGGGTTCAAGCGATTCTCTCCTTCCTCAGCCTCCCGAGTGGCTGGGACTACAGGCGTGCACCACCACGCCCAACTAATTTTTGTATTTTTCATACAGACGGGGTTTCACCATGTTGGCCAGGATGGTCTCGATCTCTTGACCTCATGACCTGCCCGCCTTGGCCTCCCTAAGTGCTGCCATTACAGGCGTGAGCCACCATGTCTGACTTACAGTTAACTTTTTAAATATGAGTAATAGGAATATACTCTAAAATAATAAATAGTATAGCAAATACAAAAATCAGTAACACAGTCATTCATTATCTTTATCAAGTATTATGCACTATACATAATGTTATGTCCTACACTTTTACAGGGCTGGCAGTGCAGGAGGTTTGTTTCCACCAGCATCACCACAAACATGTGAGTAATACACTGCACTACAACATTACAACAGCTACAACCTCACTAAGGGATAGGAATTTTTCAGCTCCATTAAAATCTGATGAGACCACTGTCATATATGTGGTCCATCATTGACCAAAACATGGTTATGCAGCACATGACTATATATTAAATAAGATGTCTTTATACAGAAACACACATAAAATAAGGTTTGTATTGATCAGCTGACGAATATGTTGTGACCAGGAACTCGCAGGAACCTAATCTTGTAAGAGCCATAGCAGCAACAGTTCATTATTCATTAATTTAGTGTTTGCAATGGCTTTACAGACCATCAATACCATGAAAAATGAGACTACACTGTATATGCTAGATCTTGTGTTAAACAACATGAATACAAAATTATACAAGGTCCCTGCCCTCAAGGAAATTAAAATGTCAAGTACACATTTTATAAAATCTATATACTGACTATTTAGGGGTCATAGACAGGGGAGGAAAAAACCTGACAATTGCTAGAACGAAAATACATGTGAAGTTGTAATTACAAATCAGTATCTTTCCTCTTCCTGTTATGGTCATTGGAGATTAATATTAAAATATAAATAAGCACTCTCTTTGGTTGGTGTCAGAAAATACTAAAAACACCTTGCTACTTGCTAGCTCTGTGACTTCCCATCACAGTTGGATCTGTCTTTTAGTGAAATCAGTATCCACCCAACGTCGTAATAGAATGAGTTTCAAAAAGTATCTTTCTTCAGGTACTATGAGGAGGACCTTGTTCCCCTAGAGAGTATTCAAACTTCAAACCTTGACTGCATCTCAAGAATGGATCAAAATTGGGAGAAATGGAAACTCTCAGAGGAGAATTTCTACCACATTTCAGGTCTCTCTCCCCCTTGGCCTCCACCTCTCAACTCATTCCTAACCAAAGGAGAGGGAAGAACTAATACAATTAGTTGGTTTAATAAATGATTACTTTGTCTTAAAAAATACAACAACAACAGTTTTTTACCCTTTCTCTGGAACCTACCAATCCCAGCACTCAGCTTTCTGTTCTTCTCCATGTATTTAGATCATGAGGTAGATGAAGAGTGTAGGATAGAAGAAACACTAGAGAAGAATCAGGAAAAGGCAATTGGAAAAAGAGGAAATATTTGAAAAGTCTTGCAAAGGAACTTGAATTTATCCAAACGCAAAGCAGAGCTGTGAAGAAATTTTAAAAGACTGACATGTCGGACACCATTGTTGATGGATGGGATGGAGTAGACGAATGGAAGAAGAATGACAAATTAGAGATTACTGCAGTAATCAGGAATACTATCGTATTGCCTTGAACTAAGCAGCAGAGGGGACTGAAAGGAATGCCTAAGGTATGTCAACGAAGCAGCAAAAACAGATCTTGGAAAACATTTGAAAATAGGAACGAAGAAGAGGGACTCAGGTTTCTGATGTGAACAATTTGATGAAAAATATTATGCTCTATGCAATGGAATTCATGACCAGAACCAAATTTAAGAGCTGAGAAATAAGATCAGTTTTGAACATGTCAAACTTGAAGCACTAAGGGAACATCCACGTAGACAGCACTGCACGCATATGGACAGATGAGTCTGAGTGAAAAAAGCAAGGTGTGTGCTGAAAAAAGAGATTTGAAATTATCAATAAATACATGGTTATTGAAGCCATAGTGATAGAAGGCATTTCTGAAGAAAAGGATATACTAAGAGAATGGATCAAGGATGCAATCTTGGAAACATCATCATTTAAAGCATTGATTCTTGTTTCTCAATAATTTGAACGCATAAAATTATGTCTAAAGCTGGAAAAAATCTTGTTATCTTTCCACCGCAAACCCAATATGAGGTATTTCTTCTGGAGACCACCACAATGAAACCCTAAGTGAAGATTCAAAGAAATTACTTGAATAATTAAAAATAAGAAAGGTGGTCAGGCACGGTGGCTCACTGGTAACCCCAGCAATTTGGGAGGCTGAGGAAGGCAAATGGCTTGAGCCCAGGAGTTCAAGACCAGCCTGGGCAAAATAGTGAAACCCCATCTCTACAAAGAATACAAAAAATTCATCTGGGCATGGTGGCAGTTTTTAGTCCCAGCTACTCAGGAGGCTTGAGGTGGGAGGATCACATGAGCCCCAGGAGGTTGGCGCTGCAGTGAGCTGTGATCGTGCTACTGCAACCTAACCTGGGCAACAAAACAAAACTTTTCTAAATAAATAAATAAGAAAGGCATATTCACCTATCTGAACATGGTGGAAACATATTTTCTAAAGTGCCTGAAATCTCTAAACTATTTCCTGTGTTTACACAATACAATACAACCCTAATATTGGTTGAAAGGCAAATGTATTTCAGTAGCAACTTGATTCATGGTGGAAAAAAAAATTACCTTAAGATAAAGTTCTTTAGAGAATAATGAAGAAATTACAGAGAAACAAAACCAGGGACTAAAAATTCTTCTCAATTTTAATAATGTGCTTAATATTGATACATTTACAACCTACTAAATTAATATATTAAATTTGTGTAGTATCAGGTTGGCAAAGATTGGGAGAATTATGCCAAATGAGGTGAAACAGTACTTTTACATACAGATTTCTTACGAAAGGACAAATTTTTACAATTTTAAGTTAGTTTGTTATATGAAAATACACACACACACACATACATAACATACTAGGAAAAAAGGTAAAATTTTGATCCAATCATTCAAGTTCTAGGAAGTCACTCTAATGAAAGAAATATAGAGATATGTAAAAGGTATGTAGATACCAAGGTATTCACTGTAGAGCAGATCCTAAGCGCTAAATAAAAAAATCCTAGAATCCAATCATAACGTGCTGATTAAATAAAACTTAAGCTGTGTAAACTTAAGTTAGAATCCATGAAGCAGTTAAGAACTGATGACATGACCAATGGCTCTTGATCAGAGATTCATGGTCCTGGGACCCATAAAACTTTATACATTTTCTTGCAGATACATTTTTTGAGGGAAGGAAATATTCCATAGATTTCTTTATAATATCAAATGATCTAAAACAGTGTAAGAACCATGGCAATAACAAGTCAATATTTATATTTAAAAAACTGACAAAACTCAGATTTTAAAAAGCATGTTTAATAACATACATATAAAATTTCATGTTTGTAAAAAATAAAGATATGAGTAAGTATTCATATGTAAAAAGTTATAAAAAGCTGTGTAAGAAAATATTAAAAGTGGTTATTTGCAAGTGAATTTTAGGCACTTTATTCAAAAGGAAAAATCTAAAAGTTATCTATGATCTGTATATTTAATACTTTAATGAACATACTAATATAATAGCACAACAACATTATAAATAATATAAGTAAACTATTATTAATATAAATACAATTTATTTTATATTGTTCAATCCTTAGAAAAATAATCTAAGTATTAAAATAGGTATAGTAATTTTAAATTTTAAAACCAAATTCACTTGGAGTAAAAACCACAATCCCATCAAATATCATAATTCCTATTAACAAGAGGTCAAAACCAGTACAGAATACAGCCCTCCTTGGGTCTGCAATTTGTGATTCAGTATTGTCCATGAATGCATCCAAACAATATAATGGCTTCTCTCTCAGCCTTAAGATGAATAAAGGCTGGGCCTCTATTATTAATTAACTAAAGAACTTTGGCTATTTAATTTACATATCGTTTTTTAGGCTTAATGGTATGCCAAGCTCTACCCTAAAGCTCTACTGTAGTTACTAGATCACCGCTTTAAAGTTATATCTTTTTCTGATTATCTTACATTGTATTATACAATAATATGTGCATAAACTTGCAATACTGACATCATGAACAATGTGAATTCACTAGAAAAATAACTCGATGAGTCAGATATAGAAACAAGAAATAACAGGCAATTTCAACCTTACATGAAATAAAATCCTATAGTCAGCAAGGCCTTATTCTCAGTTACTGGATTTTCTCACATAAACCTAAAAAACAAAATTAGGCTCATAAAAGTGGGCTTGAAGAGATGAGTCTATACAAATCTTATATGTAAGAAAACACATTTTTCACTTAAATGACAATGTGGAATTCACATCAGACTTGTATTATTAGCCAAATGAAATATATGCACAAAATGTTTTATCGTTTTATATTTAAATTGTGGCTTGTTACATAAAATGCCTTTCAAAATCAAGTTGACATCAATGTGTCCTCAGCAGAAATTAAATGAACACCCCCTTCTAAGAAGTGTTAATTGATTTCTAACTCTGATCATTCCTCTACAAGCCTTATGCCTTAAATATTACCCAGATAATACAAAACTTCTAAAACTGCTACCAGCCTCACGTTGACAGAATGCAACATAAAAATGGAAATATAACTACTTGGGATTACAGTATATAAAGTTAACAGAAGCTTACTGTAAAGGAAGTTACTGAAATTGGTAAACAATTGCAGTTGCTCTGCAACACTAGTTTCTAGAAGCACTGTTCCCTACATAGAATGACATGCAAAGGAAAAAGCTGATTTTCTCATTTCCTCAGAATATCTGAAGCAATCAACAATAATTCAAGTAGATTAGTCACATATGAAAGCGTTTAATTGCTCAACAATGTGAATTACTAAAAATACATATTTAAAGAATCAAACTACTGGTTTGAAGTCAAAGAACCATATTGAAATCTACCTAGTTATTACATCAAATCAATTGTTTTCCAATTTCAAGATCAGCCTTTCCTTCCTGGGTACTTAAATATTTCCAAGTATCCTGAAAAAGTTCAAAAATTACAGTACTTAATCCAGAGAGTTAAGCCAGTCTTTTCTAAAATTTTGGAATCTTGTCTATATTATTAAATAGTAAAGTAAATGCCCTAAATATAGGTTATGAAATATATATTCAACACTCTGGACAATTGATTTTATCTATTTACTCAATAAATGTTTAATAATGGAGATCAGAAAAGTAAAACAATGCGTGAAATTCAAAAACAAGTCCCTGACATTTCTGGAGACTACCTTGCCATGGGAAAATTAAACTATTAAAAAGGGAAATTGCCTGGTACTCTTAGAATAAACAGAGGCCCTCAAAGGAAGAGATCTGTGCCTTTTTGTGCACTGATCGATACCCAATGTCTAAGGTTCTCAAAGTGTGGTCTGGGAATTTCTGGGTGTCTGTCCAGAATATCCTTTTGTGGGTCTGTAACATCTAAAGTATTTTCAGAATAATAATAAGAGGTGTTTTTTTGCCTTTTTCACTCCCATTTTCTTATAAGTGTACAGTCAAGTTTGTCTGGGGCTACCTACTGTGTGATATCACTGAATGCAGAGACAGATATGACAATTCAGTTGTCTTCAAGTAAGCCAGACATAAGCAAATTTCAAAACTATAAAATAATACCACACTCCTCACTAATTGTTTTTACTTTGGAAAATATTTTTTCATAAATATGTTAATGTGTTTATCCTTGCCATTTCTAAATGAATAACAAATAAATATGTTTGAACTTTCTTGGCTCTAACGTCAATGTGGTAACTATCAATAGATATAATGTATGCAAACAAAAGCTCTTTGGCATCTTCAACAGTCTTCACAGGTGTAAGAGACTCTTAAGACCCAAAAGACCAATGGCTTAGCACATAGTTAGTGTTCAATAAGTATTTGTAAACTAAATTGTGAATTAATAATGAAGACCATACTGACGCAGTGATCACTGAGCTGAAATCTGAAGGGATAGATAGAGATCTGTGAGGTAAGTGAAACATAATGAAGGGGTTCTTCAATAACGTATACAGTTTAAAAGTAATGCTATTTAACATTTTTTCCCATGCAATTAAGCAATTTATAGAAAATGATTGAAAATGAAATATCCTCTTACAAATGAGAAACTGCACGGGATGACGGTCAACAACCATGAAAGGTTATTGCCTCTCCACAAACTTTATTCTGTAATTTTAGACAGAACATTTGTTTTAGAGCTGGACATCCAAACAGCTTTCACAGGAATACTGTGCTGAGAGAAACAAGGTGGTTTATCATTAGCTTTATCATTTTCTAGAATGCATCAGTTTTAAAATAATGTTATTGTAATCAATGTTATTATTATTTGCTATTTTTTAAATGCCAAGGCAAAAGAAAATACCAAATAATGTGTTTGCTCAATGCTGTTTCCAAACACTACCCACTCATGATCCTTCTTTCAACTTTTGGGCCGGTTAACGATTTCTTTTTGGTATATGAATACGTGAGACTTCATCAAAGACAAAATTTGAAGTTACTTACATGATAAAATAAGATACCATATATTCGTTGAAGGAATACCAACAATTCTGAGAGTCCTGAGATATGTGATCAAAATAATAAGGTGATATGGTCTATTTTGCAAGAAGAGCCTGTTAATAAAGTAAAAATTGAACAGGAACAGAGGTGGCTTAGAAAAAAAATAAAATAAAAGAACTTTGACGTTTTACATGAAAGTCTTCATAAGTTCCTGGATGATCTATTAGTGAATAAAGGCAAGTATAACAAAGTCATTTCCAAGATTTTATAAAAGGGAGGCAGATTATGAAAGCATTCTGATGGATGGCATCAAAAATACACTCTTGAGCACGTAGCCCTGTGGTCTGCCTAAAGACGAGAGGGAAAACCCCTTGTTGACCATAAAAGGGCCGCCTGCATGTTCTCAGTGGAGAGCATACAGGATCGTATTTACACAAGTATAAATACATGCCATTCCTTTGTGCTCACAGGCGCTCCAGAAGGCTGGCCAGGGGAGGAGGGTCCAAGAGCTCAACGCAAACAGGATTCAAAAAGCCTGTAACATTTTTCCAACATCGAATGTACTTTATTTTTCTAGCTTATCTTCTTTCATGATTAAAAAATATCTACAAAGCATAGAATCACTATAATTTAACAGGTGGCAGCTCTAGAAATACTTGAAAATAAGCCTTTAAGATTCCACAGGAGAAGAGAAAAACACTTCCCATAAATAGATACTTTTTTCTAGTAACACTACAGCTGTATGAAAATTGAGGGGAAAAGAAGAATGTATTTGTGTCAATAACCATGCCCTATCCATTTACATTTCTTAGTAACTTACAGGCTAAATTTTGAAAAATTCTGAGAAACAGTAAGAGCACAAATCACCAAGACCTAAAACAGACAAAAAAAATACTGCTACCAATACACTAAAGGAATAGATGTATATAATATACATGTATATTATATAATTATAATATTATTATATTGTAATTATATATGTATAATTATAATTATATTGTAACAACATGTATAATTACAATATATAATTATGTATAATTGCAATATTGTGATTAGAGAGCAATCAAATGGATATGAATGATTATGAATACAATGAATAATTTCCTCTTAAAACCTTTAAGGAATTCTGAGATTTCTGCTTAGTAATATGTGTTAGACAGATACCATACAGATCTCAGATTATCCCTCTCGGCTAGAGTATGTGTGACTTAACGTCCTATCCCAAGGTTAAAATGAGCATTAGTAGTCATTTAATCTGATTATCTTTTCAGTGAGTGAATTCCCTCGAAAAAATCTGTGCTTGGTGCCCTATAGCCCAGGAACCTATGTAACTAATAATGCTTAAATGCTCTACTCACTTCTATTTAAGGGTAACCCCTACCAATGAGTAACAGAAAATTCAAGTCTGGCTCAACCCCCCGGTGTATCAATATATCAACAGCACAGATCAGAAATGACGCAAATACAGCCTTAGGCAGGGAATTAATACCTATGATGTAGCTCATTTCATCTCTGAGAAGCTCTGTTAAACTGTTTTACTGGTATCAACCTTGATATTATTCGCTCTAAATTCCCATGGTACTTCTTCATAAATCTATTTTCATATGTCCTTGCTAGTAAAAGTGTGGTGCACAGGCCAGCAGGATCAGCATCACATCAAATTATTAGAAATGCAGAATCTCAGGCCCCACCCGCAAGCCTACTGATGTAGAATCTGCATTTTAACAAGATCCGGGAGGATTCAAATGCACTTTCAACTCTGACAAGCACCACTATAAGTGCACAAAACCTCTTGCTTTAAATGTTCTCCTGTGGAGCTACATTGGAGTGTTTTATTGGCCTCCCTGCATCAAACCTTTTTTTTTCACTCGACCCAATTTGTTTTCAGAAACCCCTACATTCATTTTCAGTCTATCTAGCCAAGAAGATGGGCAGAGAAACTAAAATCTATTAAGCAGACCAAGCATGTTGCCAGAAGTCCCTGTGAACTAGTTCTTAATGTTAACATTTTACAAATTAGAGAATTAAGTGCTCAGAAGGGTTAAGTGGTGAAGTCAAGATCATGTAACTAAAAAGTGAATAAACCAGAATTTAAACCTAATTTCACTAAGCCATATTTTCACACTCTGCCTTTTCTTCCACTGTGGATTTTCCTCATCCCAAACGTCCAGGCTTTCCCTTAAAACAAATATGTTGTGTTAGTAAGAATAAACTCCAAGGTATTTAAGAACTCTCGTTGACTTGTCTACATTTAAGAAATGAAACTGTAAATTGAGCAAGTCTGCTTAGCACCTAGCCAAATTAGAGCTTTAGTTCTAACAAATTAAAGTGGCTATTAGAGGCACTGTAACGATTAAAGGCATGTGCCATGGAGCCAGACTGCCCTTGCTGAAAACCACATGACCTTGGCTTGTGGCTTAAATTCTTCTTAGATTGGGATTAATGCTAGTAATTTCACTCAAATGTCTTCTGTGATCATTAAAGGTATCAATATGTGTTAAGAGCTTACATGCATGTCTAGTAGATGGTAAACACTGAGTATGTCTTAGCTATATTTATCACTAAATGGAATTCTTTATTCTGGCACATCTTCCTCTGTAAATAAAAAAAGGGCCTGTCTTCCACTAGGCATTATTTATATGCTTCCAAATCAATGCAATGTTTGCTTCTTTCTCTTCTATTGATCTACTCACATGCACTGACTTCTTATCATGATTAAAAATGAAAAATAAAATCCATCACCAATGTGTGTCTCTTACATACTTTCACCATCACAATCAATTCATGTGTCCACTGTTAGCACGCTAGGGCAATTAACAAGTAGCTTGAAGATTTTCAAGACAAAAACTGCATGTGAAGACAAAAATGCCTGCCAAGTCCCACAGGTGGCACCTTCAGGCTGGCGCCTGACAATCCATCTCAACTCCCAATTTCCAGTCCGCCAGCAAATACCAACAGCTCTCATTTCAGAATAAATCCAAAACCTGACCACTTACCTACTTTGCTCTGGCCTAAGTCACTATCACGGCATTTGCTCCCTTGCTCCCCTACAGTGTATTCTCACTCGGCAGAAATAATCATCTCTATATAAAATTCATCACTCATCTACATGACCCCCTCCAGAACACAATCCCCCTTGCTGATCCTCAATCTTGCTAGGCACATTCTGACCCAGGGCATTTGCCTCTCCCCTTGGCCCTGTCTGTGAAGGCCTTCTCTGCCATCTCTGCAAGATCTGTGCTCAAAGTCACCTTCTCAGTCAGCCCTCGGTGACTTATTTCGAACTGCAACAATGTGCCCTATCCCCACACTCTCTAACCCCCAAAACACAGCACTGACCATTTTCTATCATACCAATAGTTTACTTATTTATATGTTATTTGTCCTTTTTTCTCCCCTCAATAGAAATGTAAACTCCAGGAGACCACAAGTTTTGTACATTCTGCTCATTGCTTTTTAATCTGTGACTAGTATCTTGCTGCATATGTCATAAATGCTAACTAAATAGTTGTTAAATGAATAATAAACAGATTTTATAGACATCTCTTAATATTTTAAATTATATATATGTGTATATATACATATACATACATATATATATATATATATATATATATATATATATATATATATATATATAATCAGTAGGGAAAATTCACAACAGTAATATGCTTTCTTCTAGACAGAAGTCTAAACCAAAAACCAAAGATTTATAAGAAAAAAGGAAAAACAGAAAAAATATAGCTCCTATTTATAGATGCTAAGCAACTACTGTCTCTTTTCCCAAAGCAGGGGGGCAAATGAATTTGTGAATTAAAGAGATCACTCTCTCTCAAAGAGGCTACTCTCCCTTAATGTGACAGTTTAGCTCAGGAAGTGGATGCAATGACCTTGTACAAATGAAATTGCAGGAGCGATTGGCAGAGCAATTACTCATTTGGTCAGGATGCTGGCTAAAAACTCATAATCTTGCAAAAAGCACCTTGGGAATTTTAATGACCAAAGAGACTCAGCAGTTTAGTTTCAATTCTCTCTGAAAAACATCCAACATTGTACCACTCTCTCCCTCTATTATAATATTCACTCATGGGCCCAATCTGACTCCTAAATCACCAGGCTCATTATCAGAAGGATTTCAGCCCTTTGCTGCCAGGAGCTGATCGCGTCTGATCCAAATCAACTACTGGAACTAAGAAATTAGAATTCATATTCTATCCTCTTCCCATATTTGATTTGGCAATAGTTATCATGCCAACAAGAGGCTTTAGCCTTGATATTTCTTCTTGTAAACTATGTAACATTTGTTATATTTATGAAAAACTGAATGAAAGTAGGTTATGTCCTGCCTATTAAAAACAGCCTATGGAATATGCAGACAGAACTGTGAATCCTACAGAAAGTACTAGTTGTTAGTATTACTCACATCTGGCAGAGAAGATAGAGAGGAAACAACTTTAAAAAAACAAGAATTTTAAGGTAAATGCTGAAATATTTCTTTATCTACCACCTAGAATATGGACTATGTTATCAGAATGAGGCAAAAATAATAGCTTTGGTTTCACAGCATATGGTAAACAGAAATATAAAAAGTATAACTTAGGAAAAGCAACCAACCCACTTTAACGTATACTATATATTATTTCATCCAAGATGATTTCATTTATCAATAAAAATTATAAACAAGCATGCTATAGTGAGGTTTCCACCTTTGTGATGAAAAATGGCCTTGGTATTATTTTATTTAATGAGCATGGCATTAGAAATTATACAGGATTTTAAACAACAACCCCTTTTCTGAGGTAATAGTGAGCTCAAATTTGCCTAGGTCCCCGAAGGAAGAGCTACTGTCTTTTCTCCAGAGTTTATCTATTTATCATCAAGACCACAGGAACAGAAAGACACGTCATGATGAGACAGACAGAGCCCGGGACTGAGAGTTGGACTTGTGTTCTAGTCTTGCTGCCAACAACATACATGACTAAGATAATGACTTCACCTCCTAGAAAATGACCTCACTTAGACCAGAAGGAGAGGGCTAGGCAACACAGTATCTCAATCACTCCCAGTTCATGTTTTCATATGTGTTAAGACTTTCTTGCCCTTGAAAATTTCCAGACCAAAAGCAGTAAGAAGACATCACCCAGTTTACTTAGGAATGCTTGAAATAATTTTTAATGTTACTTCAGGGAAAAAGAAGCAGGAGCAGAGAAATCTCAGTTGCAGTGTTAAGAAGGCTGGAAGCAGAAATGGGAATCTCTCTGCTCAGCTAGCCTAGTAAAGCAGTGTTAATGAGTCAACATTACAAACCTCAAATGACATAAAGAAGGGAGGTCAGCAGAATGGACCAAAGAGATCGCCCTCTCATCTGCTGGGATTCTAGCTCCTAAGAAGTAAACAAGATAAAAGACTAAAAGGGGTAAAAGCAGGAACGCACACAAGCCCTCTGCCCAGCCATCTCTTATTCAGGATCTGTGTGTATGAACAGCTGTGGTTCTGTAACCCTCTGCTATGGATGGACTAGCTGCAGGTTACACAGAGGGTTACTTTGGCACTTATTTCCCTACTCAAAAGACTCCACATTTACTTTTCTACTCAAAACTCTCTTTTAATTTAAAGTTCTCCCCTGACATGGCCTAGCTAATGCACTTTCAGGGGTTCTAGACTCTGCAGACAGTAGTTTTCATTTGAAACATGGAATTAAACTAAGTAAACATCAAAATGAAGGATGACAATGAAAGACAGGACAACAAGAAAAACTGAAATTCAGGAAATAAAACTGTGTGGTTTTGTTTCCTTGTTTATTTATTTGTTGCTTAGTTCCTTATTTATGTGTAGATAAATTAATGAGAGGTGGTATCACAAAACAACTGCCTTAGTTGAGGTATAACAGCAAAAAGAGGTCTAAGAAACGAGATTGTCACTATCAGCCTTTTCCCCTCAATCCTTTAAACTGAATCCTTGATTCAGTTTAGTGTCATAAGCACAATCTGCAGTGTTTCTTCCAAAAACTAAATAATATTTCCTAGGACAAAATATTCTACATTGACTATGATGTCCATATACTGTGGAGAGTGTGAATGTGCAGCCTTAGGGTAAAAGCAAAGTAGCAATAAAATCAGAAACTGCCTGACTTCAATAAGAGACAGGTTCTGGTATGGTTGACGGACATTCTATGCCTAGAAAGGGAAATTAATTTACAGTTTCTCGATCTGCTAGTCTCAATAAGTGTGAATAGCAAGTCTCTACGGTCTACACACACACTGTGGATGGTGTGCCATAGAATGCAGCTGCAAAGCAGGGATTTTCTTTCCATGTTTTTTATCTCACACACTTGTCTATAAATGAAGTCCATGGTGTGCAACCTAATGGCATTTTCCAGATGTTTCCAACAAGTGTACTAAAAAAAAAAAAAACCTCCCAGAATATTGTCTTGATCTTCAAGGCTCAAGAGGGGATGTACAGCTAAAAAAAAAAAAAAAAGGAAAAGACGAAAACCCCATATGGTGCCAAATGTTGGCAGCTATCTTCTTTCTTCCCAGACAAAACTCTTAGGTCTTGTGAAAACAACATTTCTTATAAACTGCCAAAAACAACATAGATAATTGTTGTGATGGCTCTCCTGCACCGACTGCTGCGGCCGCTTTGACTATATCCACATCGAGCTCTGGGATAAAATTAAGAGCCAATTTTAAATCTTAAGCCTGAAGGGCCACCTTTAAGAATGCCACCTCCTAGGCTTCTAAAAAAAGTCTTGGCATATTAAGGTGCTTTCCGTTACAATAGGAGAAAATGCTATTTGTATTTGCCTTCCCTGAACCCTCTGTTTAAATTAGGTTTAAGGAATTAGCACAGCATTGTTTCTAATATAGTAGTAATATAAGCTTACTATAGGAAATTTGGAAAATACTATGTATTTTAGAAAGGAAAGTACCAACACCCCCACCGCTGCCCTACAGCCTTTATAGATGAAATACTTACAACATTTTAGTGTATTTCATTCTAGTTCCTCTACATACATAGAAATATTTATGGGGGCATACATAAAAATATTTAAAATCTTATTCTCACCCTGCTTTTTCACTTAACATTAGAGTGTGAGCATTTCTCTGTGGAGGCAGCATTTTGATCATTGCCCCGTATCCCCTGAGTAATGACAGCTCTGTGTAATTCACAGCATTTCTCATGGGAGGTTTATTGCTCTACTGGCTAGCCAAGGGACCAGTGTGAAATTCACCGAGGTCCTGTGCTGCTGAAATATGAGAAAGGTGAGAAAGGATTATAGCGCAGGAGAGTGGAAGCCCAAATGTCCATCTCTGAAAACATCCAGTTCCTTGGTGATTTCTTCAAGAAAAGAGAGACTATCTCTTTTGTTAAGAACCAAAAAGAGATAAATTTACTCACCAACGGTCTCCTACTATTAAGAATTCTTTGAAAGATTCATGATTATTCTTTTAAATACTCAAAGCATTTAAATATGTGTATAATATAGAAATGAGCCATTTATTCTGAATAACAGAGAGAAGTTGAAAAGTATTTATTACCTTCTGCCTAAGGGGGTGATCTCCTTGATTAACGTGCAAAGTAATGGGGAAAAAGTCTAATGTGTACTTTTTTTTTTATTTCTTTCAGAGCATTAACCCCATTCTAGTTGGTCATTAAAAAGTAGTATGTGTGTGTGTCTCTCTCTCTTTCTCTCTCGCTCTTTCTCTCTCTCTCTCTTGCTCACACACTGTCTGTGCTGCAATATTTCTTTATAACAAACTGGCCTCAGGAAATTATTAATGAAGGGTTAAGAGGTTACACAGCAGCTAAGCCCAGAAGAATGTCTGTGCAAAGAGAGAACTACCTATTCAGAAGGGAGGAGAATTGTTTGGGGAGGACTGGTAGTTTGAAAAGGAATTTCTTCCTAGCCAAGAAATTTTCTACACTGTGCAAAGCCAAAATAAAATGAGTCATAGCACTTCACATTTCCTAAGTGTGTATTACTAGAATGACTTTTGACTTTCTATGGAAATCAAAGACTGCACAAATGAGAAAACAGAACTGTTTCCCCTTCCCCTACGTCCCCTTGAGGACATACCTGAGATGATATAGGGTCAGTCCTGGCAGAAGCTGTTAAGAATTGGGTCACATATATTTGTAACTTACAGCTTTACCTTCAGGAAAACAAGCAGTAAGCATAACAGGAAATAAAAATAGCTTCACTCAAAGGTACATAAGCAACAGCATGTCCAACAACCACCAGCACTACCTATGACATTTTTCCTAGGCTATATATGCTATCAGAAACAGTCATATGTTTTAATCAATGATTATGAAGGGGTCTCGAGTATGACACCCTAAAATATGCCTTTCTGGCATAAGGATTATTTTGAGCTGAAGACAAGTAAGAATAAACAGATTTGGGAAAAGTTCTCCGTTCTCCAGTTATCTGCCGAAAAGTAGTACATAAATTTTCCTTTTTGAAGATGACATAAATGCCCCCTTTCCCTCCATTCCAGGATGAGGAAAGTGACCCTTAGCACAGACAAACAGCTGGCGCTGGAATGAGACTGTATATGCAGACTTAACTAAAATAACCTTACTAAAATAACATTATCTGTTATGATTAGATAATAATATTAGTTTCCCCATGTTTTTTGGTCACTTTCCCAAACTTCATTGGCGCTAGAAGCTCAAATCCCCTTTCCATTGTCTAGTCACTCCTCCACAATTTATCACCATTCATTAAAACGGTATAGAAAATCCCAAGTCTAACTGCTTTTTAAGATTTTCACATCCTTACTTTGAAGCCCTTATGCACACAAAATTTAAAATATTAATAAAATTAATATGCCTTTTCTCCTGTTACTCTGTCTTTTGTCAGTTTAATTTGTAGTTTAACTTCTAAACCTAAGAGGTAGAAGAAAAGTTCTTTTTTTTTCCTCTCCACTATAGTTCAATAAGCAATTTGAAAGCAGTGTTAAATCAGAAAAAAAATCTATTTATACCCACAAATACACAGAACTTCCAAATGTTTATAATTGTTGAATTGCTAAATGACTACAAATTTATGAAATAAATAAGAAAAAAATTCTAGAAATTGGCAAAAAGAGCAAAAGTAAAATGACAATTGATATAACAGACAAAATCAGCAGTTCACATTTTTCTTCATGTAAAAATTCACTTATTGAATCTTTCAATTTCAGAGTAACTACCAAGCCCTGATCTAGGCGCTATGGATATGACAGTTTATAACCTAAACAAGGAGAAAGGAAAATATATACTTCTCTTTCACCTCACTGTATTTTTATCTCCAGAGGTAGATGCTTCTTACACCCTTCTCTTCATTCACTAAACAAATAATGTTAAGAGTACCTACTGCCTGCCAGGCAAGGTTCTAGATCCTGAAGATAAAGCAGTAGGAGAAAATAAATAAACCTCCAATAACAACAACTAAAATTTCAGGCTTCATGTATCTTACATTCCAGTGACTTAATAAAACAACGCTCGTGATCACAACAGTGTTTAAATTTATTCAATCAGATTTCATTGTGAGGCTTCATTCTCTCTATAATCAATGCAGGCAAATAGTTTAAAGAAAATTCATAATATACATGTTCCTGTATTTATATATAATTGCTTGTAAATATGCCAGGATCAATTTTTTTAATTTTTGAAACCATTATTGACCATATAAGTTGTGATTGTGGAGTTTTAATATTTTTGTTTCTTACTGAATGGTCTGTTGGCAAAGGCAGGTCTCCCCTTTGAGACTGACGCATGGGGCAGAAATTAACCAGGATTTCTGAGTGGTTTCATTTTCAAGGTCACAATATAAATTTATCAAACACAATTCAAATGGTGTATGACAATGAAAAGAGGGCATCCTCTGTCTCTCTTCCAGAGCCAGTCTTAATTTTGTGATACTATTCTGGACAGAGAAAGGTCCTTCTTAATTTAGCTAAAATCTGAGCCTGAATATCCACTCTACCTTATAGAAAAAAAAAAAAAAACAAAAAACCCTCGTTTTCTTTGAAAGACTTCATTGCACAAGGGATCAAGTTAAGTCTTTCCTAAACTCACAGATACAATCAGCCTCCAATATGCTCCACATACACAAACTCTGAGCCATTTCAAGCATAAATTTTAGAAGTAAAGAAAGTTCCAGTGAATGCCTAAATAGATAGGAAAAAAGAGTATTCTTCTTCCAAGAACACTTTTCTGATTCAAACTTTCTTCCCCAAAATTAGGGCAGTGACAACCATTAGTCATATTAGCTTATTTGGGATATAAACTGTTTTAATATGTACACTAAAACAAAACAAAATGTGTCCTCTTTATAGCATAAGACACAATATATTTAGGCAAAGGAATGCATCTGCTGGATTTTAAAATACTAGTGTTTCAAATAATCAAAACTGTATTTCTAGACCTTTTGCTACATACCTGATTCTACCAATATCCTCTTTGTGCTTAAAGAAGTCATGAAACAGTCAGAAACAAAGAATTTCAAGTCACAAACTAATGATGGAATTAACCTAAATTATAGATTAGCTATTACACACTGGCATTCAATGATACTGCCAAGTTTCTTCAAAATGTAATACTTATTTGTTGTTATTAAACCGCTGGGGTAAATGGCAACATTTATCACTACGTAGAAAATCAAACAGAAATCATTAAGAACATTTTAATGAAAGTGTGGAGTTTTTTTGTTACTCACTGAAATTATTGGCAGCACTGAAACAAAATCTATTAATGTTTTAAGATATGAACTATGCTTTAACCTGGTATCTACTGCAGTACAAAGAGCTAAGTCACACACAAAACGTGAAAATCAATTTTGGCAACTAGACTAAAATGTAAATACCACAGGCCAATTCTCCCCAATGCCTAAGATATTTCCTGATAAATGAGATTCCTAGCACTAAACATTTAACAAATTGATCTACTAATGGACTGCAAAAGCCAGTAACCTTCCTCAACCTTCTAGTAACACCAAGTAAATTTCCTTGGTATTGTTTACTAATCTGTACAGGATTTAAACACCCTAAGTAATCTGTTTTTATTTTTCCAGCACCAAAATTAGACATAAACAGATCAGTGAAAAATTTGTGATCATTTTCAAATTTGGGGCATAAAAAACACTGAATAACTAGTCTGAAAGAATATGATACAGAAAAGTTTGTTTTCTCTTTCATCTAGGTTTAAGACAATTATTTACAAATAAAACATAATGAATTTTGTCTTTTTATGAAAACACCAAGGGAAATCTTAATAAAATGTTTGGAGTACCAACAAAAAGCCTAAGCACAATGTTTAAATAACTGAACTCAAGAAATAAAATGACTTCTTAAATATCTTGGATTCTATCCCTTAAGTAAAAGGATTTACATAGTCAAGCTTCATTTGCTTACTTGGGAGTTACTCTTCCAAAATGTCTTTTATCCTGTAAACGAGAAAGCCTCCCTTCTTGCACAAAACATTCCTCATTTTCCAGTCACCAATTGTTTTGAAAAACTTTCCCTTGACAGAGATATAGGACCACCTCTCAAAGAGCCAAATCAAACAGCCAACTTACTAAAGACACCTAGCAATCTGGTTACTGTCCAAGTTGTTTTCTAGACTAAAGTCAACTAATGGTAAAGGGATCAGAAGGAGTCTGAGATTCTAAAAAGGTTCATTAAGAACGTATTCACATTCAGCAAATGTGATATGCTATTTGGTTTTTCTATTATCTTTCTCATTTATATTGCTGTACAAGTGCATGACGATGTTACTATAATTTAAGTTACTAGATATCTTTGTCTTGAAAAAGTAGAGAAAAAAAGATGTACTCTCAATAGTGGTTCTGAAACTTCATTGTTCTTAAAATTTTACCGGACGATAAATACTTTAGAATGATAATACTTTCAAAGTTTCTATAAAAAGACATAAAACATGACTTCTTACCAACAGTATGTGTGTCTGTTTTTGACCAAAGTGGTGAAACCCAGGTTCTCTAAGAGCATAAGACGTAAGATACGAACATTGAGCTTTACCCATCTAAGAAGCAGTCTATGTTCACTATCAATAATCAATACCCCCAACTCACCCCAGCTCAGAAACTAAGAATACCAGGACACAATGGCCTGGATACATTACATATGAAAGCACAAAACCATTCTCTATCCTCACTAAATGCCATTCCTTCTCATTCTGGCTGACTTCAAATATGAATATAAATTAAGACAATTCACTCTGCCTCATATAGAGAAACAAAATGAACATGAAAATAAATAGTCTGGTCTCTAGGGGTACTGAACATTTCTATTGCCTTAAATTTACTGGGAAACATAGGCATAACCTTGTGCAGTCTGGGCACCATACTTACGTAAATAGCAGAGGGTTATGGTTTCAATTTGGTTGTGACACCATAAATATTGGCATACCGAACATGTGCTTACTGTCATGAATTTTGAACTCTCTCTCCAGGGTCTGCTTCTGTTTTGTCCACATGCCAGAACTAAGGACTATTTAGTTCTGCCCATAATCTCATAGGATCAGAGCTGAGAAAATCAACTTTATTTCCAAGGGAAAAAAAACTATATTCTTTGAGTGACTTTTTAAAAGACTGACTTTTTCAAGATTTTTGCCTTCTCTGGGATAAATCACAGTTGTCAATCTCAAAACCTCAAAGCAAAAGAGAAAAACAAACTAAAAATAAGAAAGCACATGAGTTATATCTTATGTTAACTAGAAAGAGCAAAAGGGGAAATAATTCAAAACAAAAAATACGTCAAAGTTACTGAAAATGAACTTGCGATGGTCATGCTCTTCTCTATAATAAATTGATTGCAATAAAACTTTATCCTAAAGTTCCCTGTTTAAAAATAAGTTTCCTGGAAATGATACATTTTTTTTTCTTATTGAGGAAATAACATTCTAAGCAGTCATCATTATAATTTTGCCAATCATGTTCTTTGTGCATTCATTTTACTCAGTCTAAGCAAAAAGATTGAGGCTCTCCAGTTAGCCCCTTGTAGTTCCTTAAAATGAAGCCAGACGTTAGGCGCATCCCCCAGCTGTGAAATAAGGCATATGACTCGTTTAGAACCCATCAATGATGATTTATGACACCAGATGCCAAGACTGCAGCAGAACAAGCTGTGTTGGGTCTAAGTGGGCTGTTTTCACTTCACTTAAAAGATCTGCCATCCAGTGGGGCATTAGGCTAGAGATTATTCAACATTTTATTCTCTGACACTTGAAAATTATGGGAGATTAAAACACATATATAATTAGAATCCAAGGTAGAAAGTGGTCAATTCTGCACTATTCTGAGAGTTTAGAGAAGAGAGACATATTAGACTGAAGGCAAGAGGGAAGGCTTTATGGGGCGGAGAGGGGACCAGTCAGACAGGGCCTTAAATCCACGTTGGCTTTGAACACGCAGCATGAAGGAGAGATGATGGTTCCCTTCCATTCCACACCCCAGGCACTAACTCACTTGGCTATTTTTCCACTGTCTGGCATCTGAACGGCTGCAAATGCCTTCAAAATGCTGTCCCAGCCTCTAGCTTCTCTGTCCTTTACAATCATCCTGAAGTACCTTTATTTTGGAAAGAAAACAATTATATATTTGAAACTTGTTTAGAGAGTAGGTCTTAAATGTTTTCACCACGAAAAAAAAAGATAACTACGTGAGGTGATGGATAAATTAATTAGCTGGATTGTGGTAATCCTTTTGCAATGTATACATATATCAAAACATTCCATTTTATTTGGTAAACATTCAGTTTTTAATTGTCAGCTATACTCAAAGCTGGGAAAAACCCTATTTGCTGATAAAATAATAATACGAAAAATGTAAAATGCATTTAAAAAACAAAAATCAAACCTGATTAATTTATGAATATTTAATGATCTGTTATAGGTGTAAGAATACAAGCATAAACAAAAAGACACACCCTTATTATTAGGAATTGGCGCAGAAGGCTATAATCATTACCCATCAGCCAAGGTCCTTCAGTGGTGCCCAAGCATCTCATGAGTTTGCATCTAAACATGCTCTTAGTATGTCTGACACAGCCCTCAAAATTAATGAATAATTTTTCAATCTTACTTCTCACCAAAAGTAGTTCATTTTTGAATAGGCTTTGTACTCTCTCACAAGTCCGCACCATCTGCTTAGAACTCTCTCTTCCTTTTCCGGTGAATTATTTGTCCTTCAAGACCCTACTCAGTGATAACCCCATGAGAAGCCCTTCCTGACCCAAAAGTAGAACATCCCTGAGTCCTTGGGCATTCTAAGCATATGTCTAGTGTAATACAAACAACACTGATTATGAACATCAAGCACACAAAGGACATTTTGTTTACCTGTTTTCAGGATGTGACACAGTAATCACCACAACACGCACTTTTGTGTATTGGATTAAATTAATTTATTGTTTGAAAGAGTTGGCAGAGCAATACATGGAGTTAGGAAAGTACAGATCTCTGGGGTGAGCAGAGGTCAGTTTTGTGTAATTTTTGTATTAGAAGACTGGGGTGACAGCACAGTAGCCATGGAGAACAACAATGTAGACTTTCCTTACTCAAAGTTTGGTCCTCAGTCCGATGGCATTAGCATCACCTGTGAGGTGGTTAAAATGCAAACTTTTAGGTCCCACTCAAGACCTACTAAAATAGAATCTGAATTTTAATAAGGTGATTTGTATGTATATTACAGTTTATGAAGCACCAATCCAAGCTTGACTAGAGTAGACACAACCAGAACTCTATTATAAGAAGATTATCTGACATTAACCTCCTGCAAATGATCGATTGTGGGTGACACGGCATTGGAAAAGCCTGAGTCATAGAAGGAAGAATAAGAACACTTTGCCACAGTTTAGGTCATAGGTAACCAGCACCTGGTTTGGGATGACAGTGAGAATGAGGAAATTTAAAAATGTAAAGATAATTATTTTACCTAAAAATAGCAATGTTAATATGTACTTATTAGCTTGACAATAATTCCATGCTTACTTAACATACTATATTATATATTTTGAAATATTGTGAAGGAATAATATTTAAGCAGGACAAAATCTATTAGTTTTAAGTTGCTTTCTCAGACTTGGAGTGCTAAGAGCAGCCCAGATTATGAGACATAGTAAGTCCTCTAAATATACACGTTAATTGGATGTTCCAATGGAACTGAGGTTTCCACAAGATAGGTACCAGGACATCAAAGTGGCAATAAGACAGATTTTCAAGAAAAATGGCGAGAAGCTGTTCTGTGAATGCTGAATCCCTCGCTTGGTCAAAAATTATCTCAAGGATCACTTCCTCCAAAACTTAGTACCTACTTCCCTACCAAATAAGCTCAGTTCTTATTGTGATTATTTGGTATGCGGCTTAATGCTCTACAGTTATTTCACCTGTGTTCCAATATCAACGGTAGGAGAACTTTCTAAAAATAGAAGGCTTATCTCTTGCTACACATTTAATCTTTTCCTCTCCTCTGGCTCTCCCCCAAACCTCCAAAACAAGCAAAGAAACAAAACATGTTTCCTTCCATCCTGGAACCACTATCTCCTTCTCTCTTAAAAACGTGATGTCTCACTTCCTCACTTTACTCCATGTCCATTCTTCTACACCACTTATTACACTGAAGATTTTTTCTTTGTGTCAACCTGGAAAAATCATAGGCTACTCATTGGTCTTCATTTTTTTCAGTCTCTGCTGTATTTTATCATCTGGGCCAATTTCTGTGATTTTTCTCTCTCTCCTTCCTTGGCATCCTTCACTCCCCACCTTGTGATAGCACTGACTTTTTTTCCTTCATGGCTTCCTCTTCAGGGGATTTCTTCCTGTGAGATTTCCTTTTCCTTCTGACTTTATTCTTCACTGTTCAGCAACCTTCATTCTGTTTCTGTCTTGTATGTGCCATCAGGAATCAGATTTAATTCATAATTTGGCTGCCTGCATAGCTGGGATGGGCGGGTGGATAAAGGAGCTCACAATAAAGCATGAAGAATCACTCTTCTATTTACTCAAGCCCAAGTCATACATCAATGTTCCTCCCTTTGTGCCTCCCATTTCCAATGACCTTCCCACTGAACCTGCTTCTGAGGTCTGCCTCAAAACAAACTGCATTTTAGACTGCATGAATTTCCCACACTTCCTTACTGCGCATATCTACTCACCAGGTTTCCAGCTGCCAAAATCCTATCCCACCTTTGATTCTGCACGTGCAAATGATGCTCATCTTTCCTGGCCCCTTTGTTCAAAAAATATATATCTCCCCTAACAACTTTTCTCAGCCTTTTCTAATGGCTCAACTAAATAATCTTGCCTTTCTCTGAATTCCCACCAAACATGATACTATCGCTTTTTATTCTCTAATATACCTAACTGCATGTCTTCTCTCTCCCTTTGGCTATAAACTACTTGAAGGCAGAGACTAAGCCTAATTTCTCTTTGCATTTTCCACAATGCCTCAGCTTCAGACAGGTACCTAAGGCATAGAAGTGTGAGTTGTTTTCAAGATCACAGAAAATCCAGTTTAAATGCAGGTCTTAGGTTTATTCACAGACTTAAGGCCATCAAGTTACTCATTTAAAAAAAAAAAAAGGAACTAGCAAGTCACACATTACACAGAAACTATAATATCCACCATTGTCTGTTGTTTTTTAAGACTGTGAAGCTGAAGCAGTTATTTCTGCTGCCAAACTTCCAGCAGTAACACTTAAAAGTTGCCAGTGTGGTATGATGCCATCAGTTTTCAAAACTTAGAAAGGCTCATTGATTTTTACTAAGGATTTCTTACACAATCACTTCCTTTAAGGCCAAATGAGCCAACCATGTTTGACAGAAGTTACAGAATGAATAAATGTTATGGTATCAACATAAAAATTATTTCGTTTCCTGTGCTTACTTCAATTTCCAAGTTTATTTCTAGCTCCCATTGCCACTAGTCATCACCATTAATGCGCAGCACAACATATTTTTATACATCCACCCACCCAACTCCCCTTTACTGAACCATTTTGGCACAATCATCATACCCAATTTCAGAGAAGGTAAATTAATATCCTAATGCAATAAAGTGGCTCTGCTAAAAGCAAGATAACTTGGATAGGACTTATTGCCCACTTCTCAAGTAAGACAAATGAATCTCACACTAGGGTGGTTATAATAGCAGTTTTATTACAAGACTGGCAGAGTGACAGTAACTATAAATCCTAACTGTTGTTAGATTTTTTACTTTACATAGTTGTAGTTATGAGTCTACTCTTGTAAGCCAGAACAATTATTTTACAATTAGTTTAGACATGTCTGAGCCCAGAAGGAAAATTTCTATTTCAATCATCTTATTTTCCTTGAAAAGAACCTAATGATACCAGAAATCAGATCAATTCAATCTTCATACCTGAGTTTCTAGCCATTTTTCAAAGTTGAAAAGCTTTATAAATGCAATTGCCCAGAATTTTAGGTATGCTTTCCAAGTGCAATACAAAATAGCAATAATGGATTTCCACGCACTAAACGAAAACAAACAAATAAACAAAAAATAAGCTTGCAACCTCATTCTCAAGGTAGAACATGGTCACCATCCTATAAAACATAATACACACCCCTAAATTTGGACTGCAAATCTATCACTTAAACATCTAGTAAATGACCCAATTTGTTTACATGGCCCTGTAGCTTTTTATGGCCTTTCCATAAAGAAGTTATTACATCCATTCCCTTTATTTTGTTTAAGAGTGTTTGAATGAGCCCCAGAACCACAGGCTAGTTAAACAAGCCTTCCTTAGATGGACGTGGTCTCATATAATTCACCACTACCGGGGAAATTTTCAGAACAATGTTTGTAGTTTTGAAACACCACACATTCCTACATACCAAAAGTATTTCCAGTGCTTTATGCAGTTTTAAATGTTCGGCAGATACATTAAATAAGTCCTATTTTTCCATTTTTCCAAGTAAACTTGTGGCATTTACACTTCTTCCAGAAGATTTGCACCTCTGAGTTTTTGCTACGGTAGGTTGGCCACTTAGAAATGACTGCAAACAAAGATTGCAAGGGAAATGTAAAATCCAGACACCCTAATTGATTTCCTAGGATGTAAATGTTAGTTCTAAAAGGAAACCATTTTAAAGCTGTTAGTTTAATGGGGTGCCCAACCGATGCCTATTCAAAGTTATCAGTACAGATTAAAGATAAATTTTTCACCGTGAAGCAAAAACTTCTTTAAAATAAGAATAGAGATGACTTAATCACTAATTTTTTCTTCGTTATCATGGCTTAAAACCTCAAGACTGCTAATATTCTCAAGAAAACACAGATTAAAAACCACTTTTTAAAGGGTTAGTATTTATCAATTAGGTATCTCGACTCAGCATCTCTCAGTAGCCTAGCCAGATTGTGACCTGGGAAATTGCCTGCTATTTTCAGATTGCTGCTTTTGAAATAGACAGTTTTGACCATAGTGACTAACACAATGCAAAGATACAGTTGAAGCCATTTGATATATATATAACTGTTATATATATATATATATATATAAAACTATAAATTTGGAATATCTCTACAACTATGCATTTTGTTACTGACTTTACTTTTATTTCTAAACAAAAGTACATTATTTCTGGAGCTCTACATGAAAATGTATTGCCTCTACAATACAAGAGACTAGACCTCATGGCATACTAGTGTTCTTATAACTTTAGATGCAGACATATATACACACACACGTGTGTGTGTGTATATCTATATATGTGTGTGTTCTTTTTCATTTATAGCTCCAGAAATAGTGAACTTTTGTTTAGAAATAAAAGTAAAGTCAATAATAAAATGCATAGTTGTAGAGATGTCACTGCCTATTGAAAACAAAGAATCCCCTGATGCCTTTTATTATCTACAAAATTAACGCATTTCCAGCAGAGATCTGTCTCTAGGACACCCCATCTCAGGCTATGGATGTACAGATCTATATTTTTCATACCAGCATTATCCAACTTTTTCCCTTGTTTTTAGTGTATTCACAAAACCACCAACTACTATAAGAAATTCATCTAAATTTTATCCATCCTTTTAATGGGTAATCCAAAGGCAAATCACACTCTAGTAAGAGAGAGTCTTTAGCATGCTTCCATAGAGCAATCTGAAAACACTAATCATTACTGTGTTTTTCCTATGTTCTTTACAATTTGCACCCTGCCTGACATAAGATCTCAGGTTTAAAGTACAGTAAATTAGAAACGAACACTGCAGGTTTCCCCCTTTTCCCAGACCCAGCAAGAAATTTCCAGTAGGAGAAATGAATACTTCTGTCTTCTAATTTGTTCACATCTTATATTTTAAGCAAATGTTTCTTCTTAGCACACTGATTTTAAATATCATCTGCTACCAAAGCAAAATAAATTATAAAGCTTTAATGACTCTCAATTTGCATTTCTAATCACCCTAGACTATGAATATATATGGCATTATGGGAAACAAGCTGTGATTTATTCCCCAGCAGAAAAAAAGATAAATAATTATGACTACTTAAAAGACAGATGTCCTTATAAATACGCAGCAAAATAACTGCCAGAAACAACAGGAGATAAGTACCACGTAAATTCAACTTCTGTTGTTAATGGTTTCTGATCTCTGTAGTGACTCAAAGGGCAGGTGCAACGGCCAACTGGGCATATTTAAGCACAGAAGTATATTTCTATCATGCAAACATTGAAATGCTTAAAATAGTATCCACTCATGAACAAGGATTTCCTAGAATGCAAATAGCAGAGCTTCAAAAAATGGCATGGCATCAAGATAGTACATCCACCAAAAGAATTCAGTCATTTCAAATCCTTAAATACCACAAAATCTTTCCAGCATTTATATACACGGGACCCGAATGAATGTCAGTGGAAAAATGATGCAGATACTCAATGAAGTGTAACCTCATAGCAATTAATTTTCCACAAACTTGAGATCTTAAAAGTGTTATAACTGTTTTCTTTGCCTGTGATGTAACAGCTTCATTACTTTAATTCAGTGTCCTGGAAGCTGCCTCCCTTTTATCCCAATTGCGGATCCTTCACCCAGCCTCATTCTGCACGCCATCCGTTTTGTGAATGAAGTGTGAAAATAGCTCTTTGTTTACATAAAGAAGGCAATATAGAGTAGTGTGGACACAGGCTCAGCTCAGGAGAGTGGAACTGAGGCTGCGCAGCCTGCCCTTCTAACCTGTTCACAACTTCCAAACATGCCTGATGACTGAAAAACATTCCAGCAACAAGTAGTTATCTGCACACACCAAAGCAGAAATCTGTCACTGCCTGCCTGCTGAGAAAGGAACTGAATAGAAAGGGTTTTGATGGAATCTTAGACATGAAGACTTTTCTTTTTGTTCTGTTTGTTAACTGTCAACCCTGCAGGAAGTACACACAGCATCAGGGCCTTTGAATGCATAGGTCTAGGACATCTTTCCACTTTTTCTAGCCTCTCCTCACTCTCAACATTCTCGATGCTTCTTGTCTCTCGCCCATGATATATGCCTCTTCATGCCTCTATTCTTTTCTTCAGGCTGTTCCCTCAGCCTAGGATCCTTCCCTCTTTTTCTCCCTCTCAGACCCGCTTCAAAACACATCACCTCCTCTGTGGGAACTTTTCTCCTTCAACTTCCCTTCCAGACAAAACCAACCACTTAGTAAATCAATAGAGGATTTTTGAAGTGAAATAAAGCACTGTGTTCCCATAGCACTTTGAGCACAAAACTAATAGACCATGAAGTAAAAGGAAGGATCTGCCATCCTCTGACCGAGTTTCTCAAAGGCAGGTCTGCATCTTCTTCTCTGCATATGCGGCACCTAGGGCAAAGCTTAGCAAAGAGCAGATGCTCATACATATTTGCTGAATGAAAACAATGTTCTAATAAAACATTAGACCATTTAACTTATGAAGGAAGAGGCACGTGGCTCTGAGTCCTGGCTTGGAGTCAGACCAAGGTCCAAACATCTACCAGCTGTGGGACCTTAGCTAAGCTACTTAGCCAGTGAAGCCCTGGTGTTTTTCCTAATACCTCACGGAGAGTTTATACACTGCATACTATCTGCAAACATTGAGGACACATGTGGCACCTAAGAGTCACTCCTGGAGAGTCATTATTAAGCAATGCAAAACTAGAAGCTTACTCAGAGCCCTTTAGACCCATCCAACTACCCTCTAAAATGCATCTAAATCCTGCTGCTCCCAGGTCCTTCCTGGCAGATCATGCTGGTTTATCAGCACATAGTGTATATAGTAGAAATGTAAATCCACATCCTTGCACTTACCATTAAAATGCCTTGTTCTGTTTGAGAATGTTGATTTCCTTTAAGGAATCAGACCTCTACTTTGCCTCTGCCCCACAAACCCCAGCAACAACCCAATACATACCTCAGTGGACTAAGAAACAACCCAACTACTAGTCTAAAGAAAAAAAGCCGGCTGGGCACAGTGGCTCACCTCTGTAATCCCAGCACATTGGGAGGCCGAGGTGGAAGGATCACTTGAGCCTAGGAGTTCAAGACCAGCCTGGGCAACATAGTAAGACCCCCATCTCTAAAAATAAATACAAATATTAGCAGGGAGTGGTGGCACACACCTGTAATCCCAGCTACTTGGAAGGCTGAAAAGGGAACATCACCTGAGCCTGGGGAAGTTAAGGCTGCAGTGAGCTGTGATCATACCACTGCACTCCAGCCTGGGTGACAGTGAAACCATGTCTCAAAAATAAAACAAAACAAAACAAATACAAAAGGGAAAAAGCTAAGTACAAAAAAAAAATCACAGTCTGAAAATAAAAGAGGAATTAAGTGGAATAGCAAGAGAGCAAATTTAGTGAAGCCAGCCTGGCAAAGATAGTCTGGTGTGGAAACAG
Organism: Homo sapiens; assembly: GCF_000001405.40. NCBI lineage: Eukaryota > Metazoa > Chordata > Mammalia > Primates > Hominidae > Homo > Homo sapiens. Next base: position 156,963,621 of record NC_000004.12, read on the forward strand.
GGCAAATAACCGTCCAGGGAGGAGCCTACTCAGTCACTAGGGGATGATAAAAAGTGGCTTGAAGGTGGCACATGAATTCTAACGAGAAATCTGATGACAAATAAAATTAACAAAACTAAATTTAAAATGCATTCCCATGAGGTAAAAGGCAAAATTAGCGAATGCTACCAAAAGTATCACTTATAACAACTTGGCTTTAATTATAAACGTAGTTATTATAGTTCCCCTTTATAATTTTTAGCTCCCTTTGTTTTCAGATTTGGGAACTTTGCAAACCAAAGTTTAAAAAGGTAAATTAATAATATTTTAGGCAAGCCATTCAAGTTTATAGCTATGAATTTATTTTCTGACGGTCTTGACCAAAAAAAAAAAAAAAAACTTGAACTTCTGAATAGAATATCCCATAGAATATAGTGTAAATAAAAGTTAAGGTCACTCACTGAATATATTTCAAAAATAATAGGTTATACTTTCTAGCGTTCACTAAACATGCTTATTTATTCATTTTTATGGTACTTTTATCATTGAGATGTACTGTTAAATGAAATGTTAAAATTATTACCAGAAAGTTTCCTTGTGGAACCAAGCATGCCAATGTCAGCCATATTATTCATCACCATCACTGAATAAGCCAAAATATTAAAATAAACATCCTTCATCTATATACTTGCTTAAAGTACAGTTCTAACATAATGGTAACCATTATAAAGGTAGTATTTCCAGTTATTTGCCAATTTGTCAGATGCCTACAGAAACAGAAGTTATCACTATATATATATATAGTGATATATATATAACAGTATATATATAGTGATACTATATATACTGTATATATAGTACATATATATACAGTATATATATAGTGATATATATATACCATTCCATTTGACTAATGTGATTATTATGAGATTGTTTCCCTTACTGTTCCCGTAAATATTTCCGAAGCAACAGATTCTTACCTCATCTCCCAATCTGAAAACCATGCAATCCACTAACATAATAAAGAAATGCTTTTATAAAAAGTATGTGAATTTTGAAACCAGGATTCCATTTTCCTAATTGGTTCTCACATAAGGAAAAATGTATCACCACATTAGCAGTTTAATAGTGGCTGTCTAGTGGCCTTGACAAAGTCAAGTCAACTTCTGCTCTCTAGGCCTCAATCTGCACATCAGTGAGGATAAGTTCCTGGGGTCTTTCCAACTCTAACATTCCTCATACCACACATGTTGCTGAGTTCTAGCCTGTGCAAGTTATCCTTGAGCCACAGGTAAAATATAGAAAGTACACAGATTTTGGAGGCTTGTCATCTATGCAACATTTTCAAGAGTCCTTGGTCTGCATCACATGACAGTCCCCATCTTCAGAAAATGTAAGGCTATGCACAGCAATGACACTTAAAAGAGTAACCAGTTCTAGGAAACCTATCCATTTGCCTGGTACCTGCTCACTTGGTAACATAATCTTTATCAAGAGTAAAACGTGGTACTCTGATTGGCACAACCATCACTACCAATACATGAACAAGCTATCTTCCTATTTAAGAAGTCAAGTAGTGTGCAAGCTCCAAGACCAAAAAGATATCTTAAAAGATGGCCTGTTGTTAGAGTTAACAGCATAGTCTTTCTTTAATAAGATACTAACTACCTCCAGAACCTTTCAACAGATACTCATCGGGCACACTCTGCCATACCTGTCTCAGGTGCTGGAGTTCCTACAGGAAGCGATTCAAACAAGGTCCACGCTCTCAACAACTTAGATTTTATGGTGGGGGTGAGGGATGTTGGTAGATAATAAATTAATTAATTAATAAACAAGAATATCAAGGAGTATTAAGTACTACATAATTAATTAATTAACCTTGACAAGACAGTGAGGGGTGGTTAATTTAGACTTAGTGGTCAGAAAAAAGACCTCTCTGAGGAAGTGAATCATTTAATCTAGATGAAGGGAAGGTGTTATCCATGCAAGAGCAGCTGGTTAGTGTTAGCCAGAGAGGCAGGGGCAAATGACTGGAAGTTGCAATTGTATGCTGAGTGTGCCATGTCCACCATCTCATCACTCCCCCAGCCATAACCCTTGAGGAGCTAAAGCCAAAAGAGCTGCAGGAAGGGAGCTTGAAAGAAGCCATACCCCTTCTTACTCCAGGTCCTTCAAGTCATGGGTCAGGCCTGAGCTGCCAAGCAGAGAGGAAAAAAGATAGAAATTTTAACCCCAATATGAACTAAAATTGTCCACAGCTAAAAGTGTCAAAATGCTTAACAATCAGTACGGCAGGAACACTGATCGATCAGGACAGAGGCCAGCAGGGTTGCAGAAGTATCTCAGAGGCCTTAAGCAGTACCAGGCATTGGAATTTCTGCTTCATCACGTGTTGGTCCATTTGTCTTAGAGGAGTTGCACTAGTCTCTTCCCAACTCATTGGAAATATTTCAACATTTCAACATTTTGGTAATCAGTATGGAACTAACACTGGTGCATACTAAATGATTATCAAATATTAGATGTCTCCTTAGGAGATTTAAAAAATGGGAGATTTGAAAAATAAAATCATAGTTGGAGGCAGTGGTGGTGAAAAATAATACAACATACAGATTGTTTACAACTGATCTTACCCAAAAGATCAAGAAGCAACAGAGATTGCTTAATAAATGAGTTATATAGAGATTACATAGAGTTACACAGAGTTATATATTCTGATTACGTATAATGCTTCCAAATTAGAAACATGAAAATCAGAGTAAGTAAATGAAGGGACTTTATGACTTCTACCATTTTGGTTGATACAAACAGAAACCTACGGGGAAAATATCATCAGTCTTGGAAACTTTTTTTTTTTACTATGAAATTTATGAATGTCTTAATTTGTTATTACTTATTCAACATATCACTTTATCATTAGAATTTTGTTTCCACAAAGGGTGCAAAAGTTTATAGATAAAACTTAGAACCTTATCAGTCTAAAGCTTGAAAAAAACATGAAGTGGAAGCTAATATACAGAAGATATTTAAGAAATAAGTTTCAGGAAGGGTGAAATACAAGTAGACAAAGCTAAGGCTTCCGTGCCTGAGACAGAACTAGAGGTCGTAGAAGAGATGGCAGCACTGAGGGAAGTTTAATGTCCAATCCCATCCTCTATTTACAACTATTTAACAAACGATATATTAGTCCCTGAGGCTTCCTACAAACCTCTGTACTTTCTAAACACCTTTCAGTGGTAAAAGCAAAGTATATCATCCATCCAATATCTATGATTAAAATTGATATGGAAGAAAAATTACCACATAATAGAGCTTTTTAATCACCTACTGTGAAAAGACAAAATTCATCATTACATAATGGCACTGTACTTGTTCAACTTCCTCAACTATTTCAAACAGCAGAGAACCAGGAGGAAGTTTTTTCTTTTTTTTTTTTTTTGTAAAAAAGCCTTTAAACAACAAAAATAAATGTCAAAAAGGTCACGCAATAAAACTTACAGGGAAACTTACAGGAAAGTCCCTTTAGTCTGCAGTTAGAGCCTATTTACTCTTGGACACTGTTCTAAATATTGTGGTTATCTGTTTTTGATAAAACAGAGATTTGAAGCTGCCACCTAAAAATGATGGCGAGGGGACTGGGCACCTTTTTTAATTTTCCATTTTTAATTTAAATTTTGTTAGATACAGGAGCATTGACAGTAGGAAGAGAAAGCTGGCACTGATAAAAAGAGATGGAAAATCCATAAACACAAGATACCGGCAAAAGGGCACGACCAGCAGACCAAAGTAAATTGCCCCACATGCCACAAAAGCCCTTGAGAAAAAGAACACATACAATAACTGATGTTAATAAGACCAACCGTAGCGAAGAGCGGCATATTCCAAATCAAAATTCAGAATGGCTAAAGAAAATGAGAAAAAAATGATACGCATGCTCTTAATCTATGAGTAAACTAAAAATCACTCACCAACAACACAGGTAGAAGAGGCATTCCTCCACCAACAACTTTGTCATTGACATCTCTTTGTGCTGTATGCAACAGACAAAGTAGGTTTTGTTTTGTTCCTGGGTGTATGATTCTTTCTGCTACAACTCAGAAGCACCGTCCCAGAACTTAATCATTCCACAATAGGCATTCTCATCTAAAACCAGTGTGCACAAAATATGAGTATTTTTCACCATGGTCATACAACAAGTATACAGGCCAGACACCCTCCAAGCAAGTCAATGTTATCTTTTAATCTCTTTCCTCAAGTTAAATCTGAAGACTCTTGTTTTCATAAGTGAGACAGGGTCAGAAGTAAGGTTAAAAATTAAGTATAGTATATGAAGTCAACTTATAATATTAGAGGATAAAACTTTGTACAGTAAAAGTGGCAAGAATTGCAATCCAATGGTAGGTCAAAAACCAGATACCTAACAATAGTGTAAATGACACTAACCCTTCAAAGCTAATTCTGAACCATGTCCACATGATCCAGTCTAAATCCATGTATGCAGCATTGGCTACAGCAATCAATTTCCAATTCTACCTCCTCTTGAAATACCAAGTTAATATTAAAACTGAGCAGCCCGAGGTACCTGATTGAGTAATCACCATTAGGGACTTTAGAATACTCAAGAAAAGAGAGTATCATGAGGAGGGGTCCTTGGAGACAAGAATGAGCTGCTACAGTCATAATATATCAATTTGGACATTTCAGAGTTAGAGAAGACCTGTCACAAAACGATGCAATGCACAAACTGGGCCAATGGGATCTTCTACGTGGTATCCTCAAGGAGGGTTCGTATTTACAGGACTGTACAACTGTCAAAATTGAGACAGCAACAGGGCAATCAAAATTCAATCATAATTCAGTATGTGGGCAAAAGATTACCCACATAATGGAAAATTTGAAAGACAAAAAGAAGAAGAAGTAGAAGTAGTAGTAGTAACGGTAATGGTAGTAGCTCTAACAAATCTGGTTACATTCCAGGGGAATCTTCTTCAGCACCCACCTGTTACCCTCAAATCTTGAAACATTTACGTATAAAAATCAACCTGAGCATGTGCAAGAAAATAGCTCTATATTGCCCCCTAGTGCTGGCCAGTGCCACTTCTCCTTGGGCTAAAAACTACAAGTAGTTCCTCTACTTCTAGTTACTTCCTGCTGCCATCCTTAACATAGACCAACCCCCAAACATAGCCTAATCCTCTACCCACAGATTAGGAAACAAGCAGCAATTTTTAGCATCATGCATCTTAGGAATGGAAATGGCCCAGCCTCAGATGGCAACAGAATGTGTGTGGCCTGGCTTAATGAACTCATCTCTCCTGGAGGTGTGAATCTACTTGGGTAAAGTGGCCTATGACCACATGCTGCATGACAGCTCTGGGACCCTTACAAAGTGATGATAGCATGGGGATCACAAGAGAGAACTAAAAGGAAAGGACAAAGAGAAGCACAGGTCAGCAAAGAGATTCGGGCAGATGCCAAGAGAGGCTTGATAAGACAAGGCAATAGGAGAAATGATATGGGACAGGAACAATAAAAAACAGAAGCCAGGAAGCCAGGAATATTGTGCATTGTTGTCATTATGGAGGAGCTTGGCTAGTAAGAAGCAATATTTTGAACTGGACATTTATTTTACATGAGAAAGAACAAAGGTTGGTCTGATGTGTTTCCTGCACGGGTACAGCTGGTGCTGTGGCTCCTTTGATCACTTTCCCCCAGACCTCTGCAGCTACTGTGATTAGAGATACATCCCTAGGCTGCCCTTTGATCAGCAGCTCAAGGAGCCTGCAGGTGCCATGTGGCATCACATTAGCAAGTTGTAAGAAGCACCACACTAATATTAGCTGATAAATGTGATACTATGTCTTGCTGCGCAACAGCAAATACAAATAACGTTTGCAAAAGTCGGCAGAATCCTTATTTTATCTACTTTTATACCCTAAAACTTTCTGTGCTTTCTTAAACATGAACACTTCATAGAGTTTAAATTCAAAGTTGAAGTCTTGAAACACCCCAATATGAAAAGGAAAAAAAATCACTCTGACTTAAAACTATAGCACATCCTATCTTAATTTTGTAGGTATGCCACTTGTGTTCATTTTGCATGGTTAATCAAGTGACAGAATCCTTGCATTCTGAATAGATGATATACAAAGCAGTAAAAACATGTATATTCCTTTTCAAATTACAGTAAGAGCCACCATTTGTAAACAGGGCGTTAAATATTCCAATTTTAGACAGCCTAACATGAACATTGTGGTTTCATGTGCAGTATAAAATTTCTATTTACAAAGTATTCTCAAAAATGACTTCATAATGGTAGATGAAGAGAAAAAGAGTTTAGAAATTGAATGATGTAAATCATATGGGTTCAGAGGCTAAGCAAATTACACACCCTGAAGCTGCCCTGGCTTTATGAAAGGAGCCTTTCTCCAGCTCTGTGCAATCCCAGCCCAAGGGAACTTGCATCTGAGAGTTTTCTAAACATTTCAGGTACACTTGAAAGCTGAAAGTAATTCTCATTTCCTATGCAGGATTAAGTCGTTTCCAGCACACACAAAATAGCAGTCATTCACCAACACATACAAAAACACACCACCAGAAAGGTAAGGACTTCAGAGTACAAAGGCAAGTTTAAAAAACAAAAACTAGGGAGCAAGAGAAATACACTTTTTAATTCCTCTAAAAACGACCACACAGCCTCTTGACCTCTATATTTCCTATCTACTCATTGATTAATTGATGACTTCGACCTAGAGTGCTTCAATTAATGCGGCTGATATATTTCCTGACCGACCCCCCTCGCCCTCCCCAAATCTGAGTAAAGTCAAACATGCCAAGGCTCATTCATTTTGGATTCGTTTTTAGAGGCAGTTCTTGAACTTCTAACTTTAGCAATGAGCGAACCTGCAATGTGCATTTGAAATGACGTTCACAATCGCTCCCAGAATGTCCTCACTCAGCAGTGGCACTCACGTTGCCCTCTTGGAGCTTTGTGGCAGCTCCCGAAGTTGCAAACTACACTTAACCTTTAACAGTCCATGCCAATGAACGCAGCGCACATTTGCATGTAATGAGAGACCAAAGATACCTTCACAGTCTGGTATATATCACATACCAACGCACAATGCCAACGTTAACACACACAGCGAGAAACAAGCAGGGGGAGAATGGGGGAAAGACTCACCGTTCTGTTCCTTGTTGCTGGAAAACTGGAATTTACTACTCAGGTTGGATTCCGCCTGAGTCCCCTGTCTCTGGCCGGCCAGGGCAGATGTCAGCAGGAGAAGCCCGAAGAGGCTCATTTGGCTGACTGGGGTGAGAGCTCACTCACGGCGGGCACTTTGGAAGCAGCGACTCCCGAGTCTCTTTCACCACCGCCAGGGGAAGGCTGCACTGGGGTGGAAGCGCCGAGCCTGCTCTGGCAGCAGAGAATCGCAGGGTAGTTTCCACATAATCCCATCCAAAACTTTTTCCTAGAGCCCTCTTCTGTGTCTCCAGTTTTTGAAAAGGATCAAAGCAAAACCTGGACCTGAACCAGTTTCCCAAGGTTTAAACAAATCCTGAGCTGTGGCGAAGTGGTGGGGGTGGGGGTGAAGGCGAGGGAGGAATGAGGGGGTGGGGACGCGGGGGAGCGGCGAGAAGTCCCCAGCAAGTTGCTGGGAGCACCTGTCAGTTCGGGGGACAGGACAGAGGCGAAAACTCAAGGGTTGCCCGCAGCCAGACTGGAAGCCAAGTCGGCGGCGAGCAGTTTCTGATCAATAACAAAGCTGCCAATAGATGCGGCTCTCCGGGCGCCCCTCTCCCCCGCCCCACCCCCCACCCCCGAAGGGGGAGGGGGAAGAAACAAGGCGAGGGCGCCGCGGCGGGTCCCACGGGCCGGGGCGCCGGAGCGGGGCCGGGGGGCTCCGGGCCGACGGCGGCCCGGGCGCAGGCGGAGAGAGGCCGCGGGGCTCCCGCTCCTCAGCCCGGAGCGCAGTTGGCCCCGGGTTCGGAGCGCCGCAGCACGGATTCCGGCACCTGGCTTGAGTTTTCCGCGACCAAAGTTCACCTTGTTCGGGCTCGTCCCCCGCTCCTCAAAGCCTGGGGCAATTCGGCCGCTCGGGGTCACCGCGGGGCTCCGGTTGTTCCCCGTCCCCTCCCCCCACGCCTCGGGCTCCGCGCTAACCTCGGGGCTACGCGCGGCGTCTCCGCACGGGGTGAAGAGGGAAGGCCGGGGCGGCCGGGAGGATCCGGCTTGTCCCCTCCCCTTCTCTACCTTCCCCCCGCCGGGCGGCAGACAGGAGGTGGGGGCCGTGGGCCGAGCCCGGGCGGAGCGCGCGCCTGGCGAGCGGGGGCGGCTCAGCGGCTCTCCCGCAGGCGGCCGATGGGGCGGGCGGGGGTCAGCGCCTCTGGGAGGGGCAGCCCTGGGACGCGTCCGCGCGAGCGGGCTTGGCCGCCCACTGGCTGTCAACAGGTGCTGCGCAGACAGGGGGTGCTGCGGGACTCGCTGTGGGCAAGACCCCGGTGGCCCAGGAGAGGAACGCGGCCAAGGCGGCCCCTGCTTTCCCTTCCACGGAACACCTCTAACCCCAAATACAGAGCACGATGGGTGGTGAAGGGTGCTGCAGAAGTAAGTGGGAAAGAACTTCCTGCAGCTCTCCTTCTCCCGCCCCCTGTCGCCTGACTTGTCATTAGTTTCCAGGAGGGCTCCCCACTCCCTAAGGTCTTTGCTAGGACCCTTGGCCAGAGTTTCAGAACAGAAGGAAGAAGGGAAATGAATTCAAAGGCTTTCCTCCAATTTCCAGCTCCGTAAAGCAGGACAAATAAAGCAAAAGTAAAGGCAGCCAAAATAACATCCATTTAACAAGTACTATATTTACTGAATGCCTACTATGTCGGGCACTGTTTAGAGGTTGGAGCCGTAGCAGTGAAAACAGACAAAAGTCCCTGCCCTCGTGAAGCATACGTAGTAGTTGGGCAGCATTAAGCTAATAGCAAGCTCTTCTGAGAATGGTGTCTAAGGGACTCAGAATGATCCTGCAACCTTGGACTTTCCTACAATACAGCCTCTAACAAAACTAGGCTGCCCTGAACCCCTGGTGATAGAATTGTTTACATTTACACCAAAAAGGTCGAGAAAGAACTGAAATCTCTTGTGGCTTGTGTTCAGGCTGACTTGGAGAGAGAGGCCGATGCTTTAAGACCTAAAGTTCTCATGAGGTAGTCTGAAATGAAACACACATGCCAAGCAGGGCTTATGGTGGTTCCATGTCTGCTAAATATGTCTGTGACAGGATCCAACGTGCTTTCTTTGTGGAGAAGCAGAAAATCATTGTCAATGTGTTAAAGGCACAAGCAGAGAGTCAGAAAAGTTGAATTTTAAAATGAAGCTATTTTTGAGTAATAATCAAAATGAAAACAAGGAAGTGCCATGGCAGGCAAATCAGCAATATCACCCAACTTCTTGTGGAAAAAAAGTCAATGCAAACAATTCGACCATCAAGAACACTTGGGCTGGAACAGAAAACCAAAATAGCAATGTCCCTGAAACTAAGGAGTGGCATTTGGGCAAGAACATATTCTTACTGGACCAAACCAGGGGCTGATCCTTCTTCAGTGGTGAGGAAAATGCCAAGCCCTCTTCTTATATGCGAACACCAACTGGGGCCAACCAACCAGACCTTTCTGCTTGGAATATCCTAGTCTTCTTGTTTTTCCCTTTTAGAAACCTTTGAAAACTTCACCCATCTGTCTCATTCTTGAAAATTTCACCCGCCTGTCTCATTCATTCATTCTTATCCCTTTACCACTTCTATCTACAGAGTACTAAATATACACTAAAGGCAAATAAGGCCTGATCTTTGACTTTAAGGCATTTACAGTTTAGTGGACAGAAGGTTTTTTATCAAGTATGGTATTTTATTCGAGTTAGCAGCTCCACAACACCAGTGTGACTCCATATTTGCATAATGTGTTCCAAAAATATTTTGTAAATTTGTGAGGGTGAAGGGTTATTCCCAATTTTAATAACATAATGGGACTTAAATAAAGGGCATGCCTTATGAATCCATTGTAATCTATTTTTCATAAAATTCATTATTCTCCAGTTTTTCTAATTTTGTAAGTTTAGTTTTCTAATCAGCACTTTTCTAAATGAAATTGTTATATGTCCATATAGTTGAGTTTCCTGACCACCCACATAGAGGTGGGGTGTGTGTGTGTGTGTGTGTGTGTGTGTGTGTGTGTGTGTCTGCAAATGTAATCCATTTGCTCTCAGGAGATTGGAAGGGTGATGACTACTCTTTATTTTGTATCATTTCATATTGGCTAGAATATTGCTTGGCACAGGGGGATAATAAATAAACACTCTTGACTGACTGACAGGTTTCTTTATTGGAGTCACTTACATTCTCCCTGGAATTTCAGTGCGATAGTTGTATTTGAAAAGTTACAGATGATCTAGAATAATACTCTACCTCTGCGTTTCACCTCATCCATATTCTACAGATTGATTTGACAATCGCCTTATAAATAAAGTCAGCCAGGTGTTCCTGAATGACCCCTAGACAAAATCACATCCACATTGGCCAATTTCCTTTCAATGTACTTGCATTGTCATTTCTTGAACTGCTCTTGCCCTTGACGTAGTTGATTCTTTTAACACATTATCCTCTGCCTGTCTTCCTGCTCTATTTTGCTTGTTAACCTTTTCTAGAAAAATGAAATCTTTGCATTGAAAGTAAATTTTATATAATCCAGAGTCTGTGCAATTACTAAACAATATATTTTAAATGAATATGGCTTTGTTTTGGCCAAAGGCATTTTCCTTGATGAAAGGCATCTGTTCCGCCAACCAAGAGAAAATAATTTCAGACATTCTTTGTGGTTTTCATGTTTTCTTAAACCTTAAGAAGGAGTGCCCATTGCTGCTGCATGCATGAAGAGTATTACCACAAATTCTTACTAAAGAATACACTTGGTGGTTAACAATGATAATTTGGGGGAGGGGGTGTCACTACTAAATGTTTTTAAGTGAAATAAGATTTTAAAGCAACCTACTCCTTTAGCTAGCCACTTAACACTCAAAGGGGCGGGAACCATGGGGACATATTTTTGCCACCAAAAAAAAAAATCTACGTTTTCTTGCTCTTTATTTTTCTGTTTTGATCCTAACACACACACACACGTGCATGCACACACACACAGAGGCATATGTGCAAAGTTATTTTAAGACTTTTCCTGGAACATTTCAGTATTTTAGTGGCAGATAATTGAGCATGATTTCCTGAAGTTCAGAAAGCTTTCTTCTACCTAAATACTCATTGTGTATTGAGAATGGCTGACAAGTAACAAATATATATATATATATATATATATATATATATATATATATATATATATATATATATGGCAGGACTGGAGATATCATTAGTAGTCAAAGTAAACGTCCACAGACCACAGCAGGAATAAAGACTGTGTTAGGAAAAAAAGAAATAAATAAATAAATGAAGTCAGTAGTCTGTCTTAGAGTCATCCTCTTCTCTTTCCACTTTTCCCACTACCTCATCTTGAGAAATACGACCTTGCTATCTCTAGGTTATGAAGATATATATCAATACTCTGTTTTTCCAACCAAGAAATGAGACACTTTTCATTACATTTTATTCTTCTAGCATCAGGTAACTTTTACCTCCCCAGTGTATCAGCTGCTAATCTGAGAAGGGTTTACCTGCTGAGGCTGAGGGTAGAGGGTTTTGCTAAGGCTCTGCTCTAGAAGAAGACACACTTTGTCAGTCTGACTTTCCTGGGGAATGGATCTGGAGGATGGGGAGTTAAGAGAAGTGTGACCTGCAGAAATGGACTTTAGTTGGCTCTCTGTGGCCTTTTCCTTTGAAGTAAAGCTGCTATTTCCTTATTGAAATCTAAGATTTTCCAAAATCTTAGAAGTGTTTGTCTGACTCTGAACTCAGAGGGAGTAACTAGCCAGAAACAGCCGTAAAGAAAGAGAAGCCCTAGTAACCTTTGAACCACCACAACAAAAGATCATTTCACTGGGAGATGGGAGGTCAGGGGCTTAGTCTGGCTTTACCACTAATAAACAGTACAACCTTGATCTAGAAATCTTCTCTGCCCCTCAGTTTCCTTTTCCTTACATGAGGAATCGCCACTGGCTTCTGTCTTGATCCCCCTACTGCTTTAGAAATTCTCTGAGCTATTATAGATAATGATGGCAAGACTTTTTCATCTTCAGTGTGCTTCTGTGATAAAAAATTACTAGCACAAGTTTCCTAGCCTCATATCAGAGATGTCTTCGTGGCTGGCAAAAGAGATAATGAACAGGTTCTTCTTTCTAAACTTGCTCAACTAGAGCAGTACTATTGTATCTGTTATTGCCATAGTTTGAAAAACCAAGCTCTAATGGTAATCAAAAAGAAGAGGGGACAGAGTTTGGAAATCACTGGCTAGGGCAAGTATACAGGAATATCATGGAATTCAAGGAAACCAAATAAATCCCCAGGCCTTCAATAGGTGCAGGTATTCATATTTTACTTTTCAATATTTGGTTGTTATCATGCTAACAGCCTCGAAAGAGGCAAAGTGCAGTCCTAAGCGGAGTGTCAAGGTAAAAAGAAATAGCTATTGTACATAACTGAGTTGTAAACACTAAGGAAATAATATTGTTGTTAGCCAAGAACAGATGGTCAAACTCATACTGTTCTATTGAGTCACACTGGTGGAATGTGAAACAATCTGGAGAGCAAGGGGTATCCCCTAAGAACATGGACAGCAACACTATCTTTGTCCATATCTTAGAGTCAATAAGGTGTCATTTTTCTCTCTCTTGAAATCATTTGTAGGATATGAAGGCTGTTGTCCCCATTGTGACAAATCATAGTAAAGAGGTCAAGACACAGCTACAGACCCTCCTTTCTCAGATAGTGACCTTCTTATTTCAAAGGTCATGGGAGAAGGAGCCTTTCACTTTGTGATCATTGTTTCAAATGCAGTCCTTTCCTTGGCTACTAGCCTTTGTAAAAGAGGTGGATAGTCTCAGCCCACTACTTAACAGTGAACATCAAAAAGTATTGCTGGCTGGCTAGAAGAAAGGAAAATATGGCTTAACTAATCTAATATTAAAAGTATCCTCAACTGCTTTTGAAGTTCAAGATAGATCAACAGACCCCCCTTTCTATTATGATTATTACTATTTGCTTTCCTTATCATCTTTGCAGTAATAAATCTGCTTGTTTTCTTTTAAAGCAGACTTGCAACACTCTTAAGGGATCATTTTCTTTTCCCAAATTTTGTTTTTATCAGCACAATTTCCCTTTGTGTTTCCCTCATCCTCTGTACCACCTTCTCTTCTTTCTCATCATCTAAATCTTCTTTGAATTGTCCTACAAGAAATTAGGAGGACAAAAAGCCATGTTTTCCTCTTGCAGGCTACTCAAAAAGATTTATAGTTATACCAAGGCAAACCAAGGAAAATTAAAGTGAGGGGAGAATTACTTTTGCTTAAATTTATCTTTAAAAGCACCTACTATGTCCCAGGAACTGTAGATTCATTAAAATATATTAATATTTTCTCATTTAATCTTCCAGCTTCTCCTTTAAGGAAGGTCATAGGTTTCCCATTTTACGGCAGAGAAACTGAACCTTAAAGATGGCATTAATTTTCCCAGAGTGACAATATTAATGACAGGTAGAGTTAATATTTAACTCCAGGTCTTCTCCTTTTACTCCTTTTCAATTTGACACCTTTAAGCCCTGGACTTTGGACAAAAACATCTTACCTGAAGCTTTCTTACATTTCTCTTCTAAGTTTTCTTCACAATGACTGAATGTCTTCCCCTATGTTTAACCTGAGGTGTTCAAGAATACTACTACAACATTACACAGCTATCTGACTGGACAGCCTAAATAAAATGTTTGAGTCAAAATGAATATGGGTTACCCGAGGCAGTGATAGTGACTAAGGCCTCGGGCAGCTAGCCTTGGGGTTGAAGCCCACCCAAGGCGTGGGCTAGCGGGAGTATCCTGTTTATCCTGGCCAACGTTAGTCATCCGGCCAATGTCTAAGCCTAGACCATCTGTGGGCAGTTATTTCAAAGAATCTATCTCCTTGTCTTTGAGGACAAAGGGAGTGAATTATCATTCCTCTTTTTCTACTCATGATTGCTACTGAATTGAAGCATCATGGCTAGGAAGAAATATGCTGTTTTCCCAGTTACTCCCTTTGAAGAATCAATTTGTGATTAGCTATAGATGTCAGAATCTAGACCTTTCTTATATATGTAATTCCTATAGACATCCTTCCACATGTTTCTAATTTAAAATACTTAGTCCAAGAGTTTTTTAAGTGGCATGGTGAGGCAAATTTGCATCCCTATTGATAATTTTACAAAGGTATTTTAGATTAGTTGGAGTTATTCAAAGCACAAAGACTGCTGCATGAAGGGACTAGTGACTTGTTAAGCCCTCAGGCAAGCAAAAGTCTTCAATTGAAATTCTAATTCCATAGATACATTCCATTTGTATTTGAAGGGGTATACCATATGAAAAGACCCTATGGTGCCATTTTTGTCCCACTGGACAGCAAGTGGAAAAAATTCTTTACATTTATTTCCTTCATAAATGGCTTTTAAAACACACGTAAAACTAAATAGAAAAATGTGGACACAGCTAATTGCCATAGCTCCTATTATTTATTTTTATTGAGGTAAATTATTATGTACTATGCGTCAGTAAAAACAGTACTTTAGGAAGTCAATGCACTTCGTAATATTCTTTCTTTCTGTCTATCTGGATTTCCATCAGAAGATTATTATCACTGTATACACCCACATCCAGCATGCCTAACTTGCTAACGGGAAGAAATTTCTCATTTTTCAGAATCTATTTAGTCTGGTATACAAATTAACTATTGCCTGGTCTGGGAATACAGTAGCCTGCCTACTTTCATTTAATATCTTATAGATCCATCACATTTTTAACTCCTTTTACTGAAATGTTCACAATGAACTACTCTAGAAAGGGAATCCTGTACTGCATATTAAACAATTGATAAATTAACTACAAAAACTCTGAGTAGATATTAATAGAATTTCCCATTTTTAACATGAAAAACTGAGCCACAGAGAGGTTTTTGGGCTTACCCAAGGTCACACAGTTCATAAGTATAGAAGCCTGACTTAGAGTTCAGATAACTGGTTTTAGAACTGGCACTTTAAAGTATCATGTTTGCATTGCCTCATGTCATCTAGCAAGTGATAAATATACCGTGTCTTAAAAAACACATTTCAAACTTATTAAGTATACATTTATATTAAGCATTTGGTGTTTATTTTATGACTACACACAATTCCAGTCATAAATATGTAACTTAAAATTCTATGGCCAATCACAAAAAATAAATCATAGTGATTTTGTCTGATATCCAAAGAAGGATGCCTCAAGCATACAGGAAACAGGCATTCGGTCAATGAAAACGTCGCAATACTGTATCTCGATTGAATACTCTCTTTAGTGGGTCTAGAAATGAAAAATTAATCTTCTGAAACCTTGTGAAGGAAAAATGATTATATGGTGCCCTTTGTTAGCAGTAAAACCTTGCCGTAAAATCACCATTAAAGTGTTGCTGGTTCTGACAACTTATGATGAAGGAAACACAAAAGGTGTATTCAAATACGTTTCTGAAGGACAATAACAGGAAAAATCAAAGTTAGTGCGATGACTGGCTATTTTCTTGGTGAAGGTGAGATTGTAAGGGGGAGGCAGTTCTGTTACTACTAACCTTGAGAGTATCTTGAACTTTATCAAAATAGCTATTTGTCAGAAACATTAAAGCAACCTGTTGAGCCCAAGAAGTTACAGTGGAAGTAAAAATGCATTATTGTTGCCCTCACCATTTCTCCCGCTTATTTTTGCACATCCCATCAATCTGCATTTGCTTTTTCCCATGTTAAGTATACACCCTATCTTCTCCCATGATCTATCTATTCCTTGCACAAAGGCCTCCCAACTGCTTTCTACCTAGGCTACTTTTATGCTTCTCCAAACTGTCATCAGATTATCAGCTTGATCTAGTTAAAACAAAAACCTGATCAGGATGCCCTACTCCAAAGTTTTCAGTCTTCCTTTGCCTGCAGAATAAAATCTATACTCCTAGCAATGATCTGCTCTTCCTTAAGTGCCCAAATCTCACACTCTCTGAGTGTCTTGTAGTTTCCTGACATACGGCAACTTACATGTTCCTACTTAGTTTTTGCATCTTTTCTTATGCTCCTTCCACAATGATGCATAACCCAATATATTATATAAGTCTATTCTATTTTGATTTTTTTTTTTTTTTTAGAGTCTCACTCTGATGCCTAAGCTGGAGTGCAGTGGTATGATCTGGCCTTGCTGACTGCAACCTCCGCCTCTGGGTTCAAGTGTTTCTCATGTCTCAGCCACTGGAGTAACTGGGATTACAGGCCTGTGCCACCACACCCGGCTAGCTTTTGTATTTTTAGTAGAGGTGAGGTTTGACCACGTTGGACAGGCTGGTCTCAAACTTCTGGCTTCAAGTGATCTGCCTGCGTTGGCCTCCCTAAGAGCTGGGATTACAGGCGTGATCCACTGCACCTGACCCTATTTTGCTTTTTATTCATCTTCTTTTTTCCCAGCACTTAACATATTGCACTTATCAAATAATAATTGCTAAGTCTCCCCATGTGCCAGGTACTGTCCTAAGGACTTCATGTATATTCACTGCTTTATTCTCACAACAAACATATGAAATAGATATTATAAAATCATAATAGTTTTATAGCGGAGGAAAGTGAGCTACTGAGGGCTAAGCATTTCATTTACAACCACACAAGTGATAAGTGGCAGAGCTGGGTTTTTAGCTTGTATAGTTCATGCACTTGACCATTACATCACTCTGCCTCATGTAACAGAGGGTGTTCAACTAGTATTTGGAGGCAGTGTAGACTCCCAGCCAAGATCCAAGCACTGGAGTCAAACATAGAAGCTAACATCTTAGCCCCTTACCTAAACTGAGGAAACAAATACCAGCAATCATATTCCCCAGCATGAGACCCACCATCACTACAAACTGATAATAACAGAATCTACTTCAGATATAATAAGAATTAAATGAGACAAAGTATGTGAAGCCTTTGACACAATGACCTGTGTGTTTTAAACATGCAGAACATGTAATGGATTGTGTAATTGTATTCTTTTTAATTAGGAGATAAACTTTTTTCTGTTTTAACATTTCTGAAATTCAGATAGCTTACATTCAATGTAAGAAGAAACTTAACAACTATTTTTTTTTCTTCCCAAAAGGCTATTTTAATTAAATGGGGAATTTTATAAGCAATGGTATCTTAAAATCAATATAATACTAAATAATTATTTTTACTAAATAAAGAAGCCTTTTTCTATAGTCCATCCTATTTTTTGCCATCACAATACCAGGATGAGTCTCTCTTAACCTTCTAAAAATTTTGTATGCCAATCCTCAACCTCACTGCCCAATATTATCGTTATATTTTATAGCTTTGCTGATATACCTCCCTGCAATTGATTACAAAATCTTTGACAGCAGAAATTTTCCTTTCCTCTTTTTGTTTTAATCTGCCAACCATCTCTCCTCCTCCTCCTCCTCACTCCAGTGTTGGACATTGTATATGTGGTGCTCCACGTTTAACATGCATTTTAATTATTTTTTGAGTGAAATTAACAAAAATATGAAGTCACCAAAATGCAGATATACCCACGCTAAATCTTCATGGAAGAAAAATAGAAGGAAGAGCAGCAACATCTGACATAATTAGGGTGACTGGAGCCATGTGGAGTTCATTTTCTTGCTTGGCTGTCAGTCAAAGTTGGGGATCTTGTAAAAGGAAGCTCTAAATTATGGAAAACAGCAGTCAAGCTGTACTGAACCTCTAAGCTCACACATAAGTGAAAATTATGCATGTAACTCCATTTTTTCGGTGAATTGGAAAGAGGATCCAGTAGGTACTTTCCAAAATGGAAGCAATGCTGTGTTTGTCTTTTCATAAATACTGTGTTAACATTCTTTCCAATATTACAAGATTATTTCTCAGGACTGGCAAACAGCCCATGCTCATATTGTCTGACTGGTTTAAATAGAGTTAATTCTTTTTGATAGAGAAATCTTACATAGCAGATGGTTCACAAGTCTCTGTCTATTTAGTAACCAATCTGTCATATCCAAGATGTCATCATTTTGGAAAATAACTTCTATGAAAGTATCTTCTTCATGTTTTGAAAATATGACCTCAGATATAATTCTTTTTTATTAGTTTTGAAGTTTTCATGTTACAGTTTAAAATGTATATTTGTGTGTGAATGTGGTCTCTAAATAATTGATGCCTATGGCTGCCTGGACAGAAGAAATTTTAAGAGCCACGAAGCTCACATGGGATATGAAGTGTTGCGGTTTTATGACTATTCATACCTAAAGTAAATTAGTTAAATGACAATTTATTTTACATTTCATGTGCTTTTAGAAATTACTTTTACTATGATATTAGACTTCAGATCTGAGTTAATGTCAAAAAAATAGAAAAACTGCTATGGGATGAACCAAACATGCCACTTTTTTCCCCTATCTGGCAATGATTTATTATTTTGATATATTGATATTTTATTATACTGAATAAATAAATTCATTGCAGAGTAGTAAAAACTACATTAATGAGCTCAGATAAAATATAACTACTTAATGACTTTTCAAGCTCATAAATATTTATTCTATTAAGCATGATATAAAATACTGGTTATGATGATATTTTTCTTATCCCTTAGCAAGTTTCATCTGATACATTTTATATGCAGAAATGACACATTTGCAGCTGACATGGTATGGAGTTTTTACCACTACTCCATTTAAATGTCCCTCATGAAATGATCAGGCAAAAAGCTTCATAGGGAAAAGCTAGCACATATTTTTTAAGTGAGAGTGAGTTTTCATTAGTAATTTAATTTTGAAAGTTCAAAAAACGTTTCAAAACATATCAATTGTTGGTTCAAAACAATGGACACCACGGTACCCTGGAGAGTACTCACAAGCAGAAATTCTGAGTTCTATCCCAATTAGATATGTGACTTTAACAAAAAGAAGAAGAAGACAAAGAAGAACAACAACAAGAACAACAACTTTTCTGGTCCTTGGTTTCTATCACTGCAAACATGTAATTCACCCTGGTTGATTTCAAGATGCCTTCCATTTCCAACATCTTCTAATTCAATTTGTAATTATTTGTTTTCTACCAAAATATTCTCTCATTTTTTTTTGCAGAAAGATAATTGCTAAAGGCAATATTACTTGGGCCTTGAAGACATTTCTGGCCAGACGAAGAGTATAGATAACTCTAAAAATATTAAAAATTATTTAAAACAAGGAAATGAACAAAAGCTTATATAGGAGCAGGGAAAAGAATGTGGAATCTAAGAAAGAAGAATGGAAGGAAGCTCTCAAGGAAGAAGGATAGATTTTCTAGTCAAAATATGCCCTTTTTAAGAAAAATCTGTTATCCCAATTATTCTTTAAGTGTTTAACAATTTAGGATTTTTATGTTGTCTTTAGTCATTATCCTTTCATAAAAATATGAGTTATGTCAGTGGCCAATTTCTGTTTTGGCCTGTGCTGGTGGCCCTGCAGGAACAAGACTATATTGTTTGAACTCCACAGAGTAGTGTAAAAGGATATTGATTGATGGATCTGTCTATTCTTCTATACATATGCAAATTATATTTGCATTAATATTAATATTTTCTAGATACAAAAGAAAATATTTTCTGTATCATTATATGATAATAATAATAAATATTAATCGTTTCTAGATTTAAATGTAAATTAAACACACTACAGTTATTAAAACTGATCTCATGATGTGCTGCTATGAATTTGTTGTTTGCCTTTCTAACACTGTGCTGTTATTCACATTGATAACACCAGGAGGCACATAGAGGAGACTCTGCATCTGTTACTATGGTGACTATTAGGCATATTTTAAAAGAAGTGCAACCATCATGTATGCATAAACTTAAAATATTATTGTCCAGCTTCTTTAGAATTGTTGAGAATTAGACATCATATTAAAAATATTTTTTGAAGTCATATGTTTTCTGTTTTCCTTCTCAAAGAAAACATAGCTAATTTCAACAATACAGACAAATAAACTGAGTTTTTATGGATAGTAAATCACATCCTCTGTTTTTCTCTAAAAATATTCAAATTATTATTTTGTATGTAGGCTTGGGAGATAGCCACATCTGTCTCATATCATTAACTTTGCCACTTATTTGATGTGTATTGTAATCTGTAACATAAAAGGAATCATAGACAGGAATTTGAATAAATAAGAGATATATTTGGTTTGAGTATACTAACCAAAATTATTTTTAGAATGAGGAGACAGATAAAATTTTACTTCGTAGCATCTATTTGAATTAAAGTGTCATTATTAACTTCTTGGATATTTCTTTTCACATCATGAATCATAATAGCATATTGATACTGATGTATTCTGAGCTTGCATTTCTACTATTTTATTTACTCCTTTTCTTCAACAAGTACCAACTATGAATATCAGGCGTTGTGTTAGGTTCTGGGAGACAATGGTGATAGAGTAGATGGAGAAAAGAAAAGGGCCCAGGAATAGCCTCGAGAATATCTAATATGCAGACCTTGGGTCAAGAAGAATGATTAAGTAAAAGGGACTAGGAAAAGCCAACTCTACGGGGTAAAATGAATACAGGAATGTGTTGTAATAATAAAAACAGGACAGTGAAAGGTGAGAAAAAAAAGTGCATTTTCAGTAGCCAGAGATGTGGAGTGTATCTAATAGAGAATAGTGAAAATAGAAAAATTATACAGTAGATTTGGAAACATAGAAGTTATTGGTGACCTTGACAAAAGATGTTTTAGTGGTAACGTAATAATTGGAGCTAAAATGAAATGAGAATGAAGAGTGACTTGCAGATGTTATAAAAATAATTTAAAAAAAGGCCGGGCGGGGTGGCTCACGCCTGTAATCCTAGCACTTTGGGAGGCCAAGGCGGGTGGATCACGAGGTCAGGAGATCAAGACCATCCTGGCTAACACGGTGAAACCCCGCCTCTACTAAAAATACAAAAAAAAATTATCCGGGCGTGGTGGCGGGCACCTGTAGTCCCAGCTACTCGGGAGGCTGAGGCAGGAGAATGGCTGAACCCGGGAGGAGGAGCTTGCAGTGAGCCGAGATCGCGCCACTGCACTCTAGCCTGGGCAACAGAGCGAGACTCCATCTCAACAAACAAAACAAAACAAAAAAACAAAAAACAACACATTAAAAAAAAAAAACCCTTGGCTGGGCACGGTGGCTCACGCCTGTAATCCCAGCAGTTTGGGAGGCCAAAGCTGGTGGATCACCTGAGGTCAGGAGTTCGAGACCAGTCTGACCAACATGGTGAAACCTCATCTCTACTAAAAATACAAAAATTAGCCGGGTGTGGTGGTGTAGGCCTGTAATCCCAGCTACTCGCAAGGCTGAGGAAGGAGAATCGCCTGAACCCAGGAGGCGGAGTTTGCAGTGAGCCGAGATCATGCCATTACACTCCAGCCTGGACAACAAGAGTGAAACTCTGTCTCAAAAAAAAAAAAAAAAAAAAAAAAAAAATATATATATATATATATGTATAATTCAATGAGATTTAAAAAAATTTTTTGTTGTTGTTGCTTGGAGAAAGAGTTTCCCTCTTGTCACCCAGGGTGGAATGTAATGGTGTGATTTCAGCTCACCTCATCCTCTGCCTCCTGGATTCAAGTGAATCTCCTGCCTCAGCCTCCCAAGTAGCTGGAATTACAGGTCTGCGCCACCACGCCTGGCTAATTTTTGTATTTTTAGTAGAGATGTGGATTCTTTATGTTGGCCAGGCTGGTCTCGAACTCCCGACCTCAGGTGATCCGCCCACCTTGGCCTTCCAAAGTGTTGGGATTACAGGCATGAGCCACCATGCCAGAACTGAATTATAATTTATATATAGCTAAATGCATGCATTTTAAGTGTATAATTTTATGAGTTTTGTCAGATGTATACAATGATGACACAGAACATTTCTATCACCCCAACATTTGTTTTTGTCATTTTGTAGTCGTTACCTCCTTTTATCTGATGCCCAGGCAACTACTGATTTGCTTTTTATCAATATAGATTAGTTTGCATTTTCTAGAATTTTGTGTAAGTAGAATCACACCATATGTATTCTTTTGATTATGGCTTTTTTTCACTCTGCATAATGATTCTAAGTTTCATCATTGTTGCTGTGTGTAGCACTTTATTATTTTTCATTACTAGCAGGCATTTGATTTTATCTTTATATTATGTAATTATGTCATGTTTATTCATTTACCTGTTAATGAACATTTTAGTAGTTTTCAGTTTTTTTGCTATTATAAATAAAGTTGCTATGTAAAAATCTTCATAAGGACATATATGTTCATTTCCAATGGGTAAACAGCTTTGAATGGAATTAGTAGGTTCATTGGTAGATGTATATTTAACTTTAAGAAATTGCCAGTTTTTCAAAGTGATTTACCATTTTATAATTATATCAGCAGTATATGAGAACTATATTTGCTCTACAATTGGTATTCTCAATATTTTTAATTTTAGTCATTCATACGAATGTGTAGTGATGTTTTATTGTGGTTTTAATCTGCATCTCTTTAGTGCCTGATGGTGTTGATCATCTTTTCATTTTTCTTTGTTCTTGTCTCTTTCTAAAGAGGATGGAGGACAGCAGTTATGAGGACCCCATGTGGGGTACCTAACCTTAGCTGTTGAGCTCATTTCACTGAATCCGTTCCAAGCTCTCACTTAGGAGACTTCCCCTGAACTCCTCCCCAGGGGTGGGGTCTGCAGCATCCCCTGCCCCGTCTGACCTCAAGCAGCTCTGTTTTCTGGGAATTCACCTCCTTGCAACTCAAAGAGAGCCTTGTTAAGGTTGCTTCTGACCCTAGTCTCTGATCTTCCCAAGGGACATGGGGCTGGAGTGACATGACGCACTCAGCTCATGGCCCCATGACTCTCTAATGAGTTTCACTCTGCCGTATTTTGTTTTTCCTGCTCTTATTAACTATTTATAACTCTTTCCTGAAGTGTCTGTACAAGTATTATGGGCTGAATTGTGTCCCCCCAGAATTCATAAATTGAAGTCCTAACCCCAATCCAATACCTCAGAATATAACTGTATTTGGAGATAAAGTCTTCAAAAGGTAATTAAGTTAACATAAGGTCTTTAGGGTATGCCCTAATCCAGTCTGTCTGGTGTCCTTTATAAGACACTAATACAGACACACTGGAAGATAAGGCTAGAAACATACACAGACAGAGGAATGACCATGGGAAGAGGGTGAGAAGGAAGCCATCTGCAAGCCAAGGATGGAAACTGCAGAAGAAACCAAGTCTGCTGACGCTTTGACCTCGGGCTTCACCTTTCAGACTCTGAGAAAATGCATCTTTGTTGTTTAAGCCACACATTTTGGGTTATTTTGTTATGCCAGCCACGGAAAACTAACACAACAAGTTTTATTTTATTTCTTTATGTTTTCAGTAGTTTTCAGTTTGGGTTCAGCCCTGACTCTTAGGGCTTCATTGTCTTATTAAATTGTGAGAGTTTTCTAAGTATTCTAGATATAAGTTTTTGACAGAAATTTTAATTGAGAATATTTTCTCCCATTCTGTGGTTAGCCTGTTTAGTTGCTTAATGGTATCTTTCAAAATGAAAATGTTTTTCATTTTGACGAAGTTCTATTTATCATGTTTTTATTTCAGAGTTTTTGTTTTTATGTTAAGATTTTCTTCTATGTTTTCTTCTGAATGTTTTATAGATTAGCTTTCATATTTAAGTTAATGATCCATTTCAAGTTGACATTTAAATACGGTCAAAATTTTAAAAATTATTTTTTTCTATATGAATACCTATTTGTTCTGAAACCATGTTGGAAAAGATTTTACTTTTCCCATTGAATTGCCTTGGCATCTTCACTGACAATCAAATGAACCTATATATGTAGGTCTATTTCTGAATTATTTGTTTCCTGGATCTAAACCTATTCTCCTCTGTAAGCCCTCCCTGGACTGATGATGGGGTTATATCCCAAAAAACCTATGATAAGTTGAAAATATAGTAAGTTGAAAATGCATTTAAAGCACCTAACCTACCAAACATTATAGCTTAGTCTAATCTACCTTAAACATGCTCAGAACACTTACACTAACCTACACTTGGGCAAAATAATCTAACACAAAGCTTACTTTATAATAAAGTATTGAATATCTCGTGTAATATTTTAATACTACATATTATGCCAAAATCAGGATGGTTTTGTGCCATCATAAAGTTGAAAAATTTTAAGATGAACTCTCATAAGTGGGGGACCATTTGCATGTCTATTCTTTCCCCAATACCACTCTATTTTTAACTCTTATACCTTTAAAGTGAGTCTTGAAATCAAATAGTGTTAGTCCTCAAGGTTTGTTCTTTTTCTTTTTTAAAGCTTTGATTATCCTAGATAATTTGAATTAGTTTGTCAAATTCTATCCAAAAAGTATGCTGAAGTTTTGATTAGGGTTACTTTAAATCTACAGATCAATTTGGGGAGAATTTACGTCATAATAATGTAAAATCGTCCAATCCATGAGAGCAGTATGTCCTTCATTTATTTTGGTCTTTAGTTACTCTCAGCAATGTTTGACACTTTTCAGTCTGCAGATTTCATACATATTTGTTAAATTTTCCCTGAAATATTTCTTGGTTTTGATTGCTGTAATAAATTGAATTTTATCTTTTAGCTTCTTTTTTTCAATTGTGTTTAGCTAGTAAATTGAAATAATGTCACTATATATTGACCTTTTTTACCCAGCTAAATTTACTTGCTAATGCCAATAGATCTTTCTTAGATTCCTTATGATTTTCTATGTACACAATCATGTCATCTTGTTATGAATTGAATGTGCCACCCAAAAAGATACTTCGAGTTCTAATACACATTCATACCTGTGAATATGACCTTATTTGGTGAGATGGTCTGGCTCTGTGTCCCCACCCAAATCTCATCTTGAATTGTAATCCAAATTGTAATCCGAAGTTGGGGGAGGGACTTCGTGGGAGGTGATTAGATCATCGGGGCAGTTCCTTCATGCTGTTCTCGTGATAGTGTGTGAGTTCTCACAAGATCTCATGATTTCATAAGGGGCATCTTCCTGCTTCACTCTGCACTTCTCTCTCCTGCTGCCTTGTGAAGAAGGACATGTTTGCTTCCCCTTCTGCCATGATTGTAAGTTTCATGAGGCCTACCCCGTCATGCTCATGCGGAACTGTGAGTCAATTAAACCTTTTTCCTTTATAAATTACCCAGTCTCAGGTATTTCTTCATAGCAGTGTGAGAAGGAACTGACACATTTGGAAATAGAATCTTTGCAGATTTAATCAAGTTAAGAGAGGTCATTAGGGTGGATCTTGATTCAATATGACTGATGCCTTTGTAAGAAGGTGGCCATATGAAGACACAGACACACGGAGAGAACATCATGTAAAGCTGGAGGCAAGGATTGGAATTATACAGCTGCAAGACAAGGAATGTCAAAGATTGACAGCCACCACCAGAAGCTGGGAAGAACAAGACCAGACCTTTCCCTGGAAATGTTGGGGGATCATTGTTCTGTCAATACCTTGATTTTGGACTTTTAGCCTGAAAAATACCTTGTTTTGTTTTAAGCCACCCAGTTATTGGTACTTGGTTATAAAACCTCTAGGAAATTAATATTCAAGTGTAAAAAAGATAATTTTTCTTTCTTTCTTCTCAATCTGTATGCCTTTGATTTTCTTATGACATTATAGTGGCTAGAACATCTAGTAGAACATGGAATAGAAGTGAGGTGAATATATGTTCTTGCCTTGATCCTGATCTCAGAGACTATTTATTCAGACTTTGACCATAACATATGATGTTGCCTGTGGGTTTTTTTCTAGGTGACTTCTATCAGTTTGAGAAACGTCCACTGTCTTTTTAATTTGCTAAGAATTTATTGAATTTTATCAAATACATCTATTTAGATAATCGTATACATTAATCCCTTAGTATCCTGGGGAATTGGTTCCAGGATCTCTCAAGGATACCAAAATCTGCAGATGTTCAAGTGCCTGATATAAAATGGTGTAGTATTTGCATATAACCTATGCACATTCTCACATATACTTTTTATCATCTCTAGAATACTTATAATACCTAATATAATATAAACAGTTGTTATACTTTTTTTTGTTTTGTTTTGTTTAAGACAGGGTCTTGCTGTGTCATTTATGTTGGAATGCAGTGATACAATCATAGCTCACTGCAGCCTTAAACTCTTGGGCTCAAGCAATCCTTCCACCTCAGCCTACCAATAAGCTGAGACTACAGATGTGTGCCACCCTGAATGGCTAATGTTTTAGTTTTTGTAGAGATGGGGTCTTGCTATGTTGCCCAGGCTGGTCTTGAGCTCCCAGTCTCAAGTGATCCTTCTTCCCTAGCCTCACAATCATACTGTATTGTTTAGGAAATAATGACAAGAAAAAATATCTGTATATTCTCAGTACTGACCACATTCTTTTTTGAAATATTTTCAATTTATGATTGGTTTAGTCCACAGATGTGGAATCCTCAGACATCCTCGGATGTCTGACTGTGGTTTTTCTCTTCTATCCTTTAAGATGATGATATATTTACAAATGTTAAACCAACTTTGAATTGCAGGAATAAATCTTACTTTGTCAGAGCATATTATTCTTTTTATATATTTTCTTATTGAGTTGGAAAATTCTGAATTTTTAATAGATTTTTGTGTGTATAGTCTGTAGTTTTCTTTGTTAGGAATGTCTTTTTCTGGATTTGGTATTAATTTAATGCCATCCTCATAAGATGGTCTATCTGAGTGAATGTTCAAACTTCAGAAAAATAAACACTTTGCAATTATTATCTAAGATGATTGATAGTGTTGATCAAATCTTCAAGGGCCTTATTGGCTATTTTCTCTAGTTGTTCTACTAAAGGCTCACAGTGTCTAGATTAGAATCATCCTACAAAACATCACCCCAGTCCAAGAGACCCCTTTCAAGGTAAAATAAGTGAGACAATGGACATTTGATAATAGAATCCACTAATCTTGCCATATATGGAAGGATTGGGAAGCTGTTGTTTTGTTAGACTGTCAGAATAGCTTCGTAAAGATGTAGCTAAGGCTTCGGCTTGATGATGACACCTTGTAGAGTTGAGAGTCTAACCTTCAAAAGGCAATATATACTTTAAATCTGTGACCATTATATGGAGCTATGTCATAGCTAGAATATATGGTTTCAGAATCAAGGGTAGAAGGGCTCTTCTGTATTAGAGGCCCTGATTCCTGGGTGTTGGGTCAGGAATTAAGAGACAATATTAAGAGTTCTACTAAATAAGAGACAGGAATTAAAAGGCAATATTAAGAGTTCTGCTAAAGTACGACTGCCTCCTGGTCACTTTGGATTCTTTATGCCCACATAACCAAAATAAAAGAAAGGAGTTTCCTATACTAACTGGAGAAATTGACACTAATTAGCATGAGGAGATAGGATTGATGCTGCATTTTAGAGGAGGAAGGATTACGGAGCTCCAAAGATGCACTCCAGTGCATGTTAGCGCTTTCATGGCTCATGATAGTACTAAGTGGGCAATTACAGTAACTACTGTTTGACAGAGGCACGGTTGCCAGAGGCTCTAACTCCTCAAGAATGAGGCCTGTGTTATGCCACTGAGAAAGCAAACTAGAACACTAGAAGTAATATCTGTGGATGAGGATTACCAGAAAAGAAGGAAATGAAGGAAGTAAGGAAGCAGTTGATAAATGTTAGTTGAATCATTGAGTCCAACAGATGCAGCAGAGACTGCATCCAGTTCCACAAATTCTGCTACTGTAATCCTTTTTATTATAAATTATTATCAGACATCATATTGAAGAAGCAGTAACAGGACAGAATAAACTTATTGGAGGCACAAGTGGATCTGAATGGTCCTCCCATCATCAACCCCGCCTTTCCAGGATTAACATCACACTTTCAGCAGATGCAACTTTTTGACTTGCTTGGTAATCAGAACTGTGTGACAGCCCAGAAGTGCCAGGGAATTGACTCCCCTCAAGAGCAGTTCTTAACCAATTACTAGTGGGAGTTGGCACATAAACATTTAAGCTCCTTTGCCCCTCAAGTGGATCAAGCATCATTGGCTTCTAGAGTTCCCACGGGACAAATTTTCACTTACACACCATGGTAATTTGCTTATAAAATATCTTTATTCAGTTTCCTATTTCTCTACTGGTGCTTTTTGGGGATCACTTTCCAATTGAACTTGTTGCATTTTATGCCTTGTCTCAAGGCTTGCCTCTAGGAAAATATAAATAATGACAACATGTCTTTCAAAATGGAAAATTCATCATAGTGTACCTCAGATAATTGGACCCCTAAAACTTCATGCATGTGCCAGGCCTCTGAACATTTTTAGGTTTTATGTACTGGCACACATGCGTCTTACTATGGTGTCCAAAATACTTTCCAATTCCCACTCACAAAATATGATTAATCAGCCTCATCATCTCATATAAAAAAGCACTCTTTATTACCTACGTCTAATATAAAGTGAAGGCATGCCATGAGTCCCATTTCGGATGAGGGCTATTGAGATATTTAAAAACTTGTACAGACCTTACATATTGGCTATAGTGCTGGAGAAGATTCTTAAGGTCCCATGGCTGGCCACGTGTAAATCTTTGTTTGTGGATCATCAGCAGGCCCAGGGCTCCTGGGGAAGCAGTGAGGTAGGCAGGGCAGCAGCAGAGCACTTGAGGGGAAAGCAAAAGGAGCAAGGAGGCGGTGGAGGCAGAGACACTAAGAGCACTTGAGCCTTTGTGTCCAAAGCAAGAACTACCTCTGGATTTTTAGTCAAATTTCTTCAAAGCCAGTTTGAAATGAGCTTTCTTTCTGTCTCTGTAAAATAAATTATTGTAGCTGATTAGCCACCCAAGCTAGAATCTAAGAACTCACACTCAGTTCTTTCTCTCTCTCTCTCATAGCCCAGATGTTGTCAGTTTTATCTTTTAAATGTTTCTTCAATTCACTCTCTCCCTTCTGGTCCTACTAATATTGCACTCTTTAAGACTTTCATTATCTTTGCCTGTTATTTTAGCTGCCTCTTAATTGATCCTGCTGTTTCTAGTCTTATCTTTCTCAAATTCACACTTCTTCTATCCAAACTTGACCATGTAATTCCCCTTTTTAAAATTATTCAACTGCCCTCCATCACTACAAAATAATGTGGCATGATTTAATAATCTATTTGGCTCTCTCTTTTCCTTCATCTCTCCACATTGCAGCTTTGCCTTTAGGTTCAGTAATATCAAACTGCACGTGTTTCCTGCCATATATCATGTGCTTTCTTGTCTTCATACTTTTATTTATAATTTTCTCCTCCCTGGCTAATGTCCATGTACATATTTCTCCTCCCTGGCTAGTGTCATAGCTTAGCCATCGTCTCTCTCTCTGGAAACTTTCTGGAAATCCCCATGCTGAGTTGGATGACTCTTCCTATGTGATCCCAGAAGAGTTTGTGAACATCTCCATCATTTCATTGACCACACTGTGGTATAAGTATCTATTTACATGTCTTTACCACCCACCCCACTCCCCAGGTACTTGAGAAAGAAGTTGTATCCCAAAGTCAGGCATATGGCAGATATTCATTAAATATTTGCTAAATGAATAAATGCATATACATGTGATCATAAAACACAAGAAAAATATACTTTAAAATACAGAAGCCCCCAAACATATTTTGAGTAATGTCAGCCCTATTGGTATAAGGACTGATATCCAAAAGACCCTTTTGAGTATAACAAAGTACTTTTGAATAGATATTTGTTAAGAACAAAATTAGCTATATTAATTTGTGGACATAGTTGTGGTGAAAGCATAGATTAAAACATAAATTATTGGCCGGGTACAATGGCTCACACCTGTAATCCCAGCACTTTGGGAGGCTGAGGTGGGAGGATCACTTTGGGAGGTCAGGAGTTCAAGACCAGCCTGGCCAACATGTTAAAACTCCATCTCTACTAAAATATAAAAATTAGCCGGGCATGGTGGCTTGCATGCCTATAATCCCAGCTGGTCGGGAGGCCAAGGCAAGAGGATTGCTTGAACCTGAGAGGCAGAGATTGCAGTGAGCCGAGTTATGCCACTGCACTCCAGCCTGGGTGGCAGAGCAAGACGTCTCAAAAAATATAAAACAAACAAAAACAAAACAAGCAAAAAAAACAATAAATTATTGTTATATCTTGAAACTATTAGAAAAGCAATTCTTGAAAGTACAACATGTAACAATTATGCAAATTGAAGTCACTCATGTTTTATTACTCCCTTTGTCCCATGAAGCCAATATAAAAACTGCTAAGAACGTTTTTGATTAAATAACAAGTATTTTTCAACAAGTTAGGCCCTACTCAGATGAATGGAAGAGGATTAATAAATGTTTTCTTGAACGCTCATGGCATTCAGTCAAGTGAGTACATCCAGAATCTAATAAATTTCAAATAAGAAATGTGTATCAGTGAGCCATTATGTTCCCTGTTACCAGTTGCAGGGCATTGTAAGAAAAACAACAATATTATTTAATTTTTGATAAAAACATATGCTAATATACCTACAAAAGCCTGAAAATGCTTTCCTTTTAGGTGTTAATTAAGGAATTATTATTTCTTATAAGTCATACATTAAGAGATCAAAAGTATTAGAATAAAGTGAATTAATATTTTAAAGGTATTAATAATTCATTTTTTACATCTTTCCCTTCTCATCAATATAAAGGCATAAAAAGACAGTGTTTTATTGTTAATATCACATAATAAGGTTAACAAACCAAAATTTAGTTCTCACTTTAAATATTTTGCTGAACTGTGGTTTATAACTTAAGAGTTTTATTAAAAAAAAACAGGTAATGATGTAGGTTAGCCTCTAGAGGAATTATTTTTCTGAAAGGATTTTTTTTGTAAGTGTACTCTTTAAACATGGGCAAGCACTTAATTGAATACCTACTATGTGGGTAACCCAATACAAAAATAAAGAAATATATGTTTAGTTTCTTAACAGTTGAATGTCTAATGAGGGATCAGATTCATAACTAAATATTTATAATAAAATGTAGAAGTTCTGTAAAAAATAAATATGAAAACCGCAGAAACACAGATAAAGGTCCTTGTACTAATTTGATCAAATGGAGATTGAGATCAACTCTAGAATTGTAGAAGAGGTATTAGAAAATCAACACAGGGTTTGTTTCTGTTATCAGAGGTAAGAACCTCAAATTTTATTTTTGTTTCAACGATCTAGTGTTCTCTACTAAACCTAATATTCAACCATTCACTACAGTTTGTTGAGTATATAATGGGTGCCAGGTAAATGCTAGGTACTAAGGATCAACTAGTGAAGAAGAGCTCCCCGAAAGTGCAGAGCCGGCTTCAGGTGGAAGAGGCAGGTGTGTGTGTAAGCTATTCTAGCACAAGTTGCCAAGTACTATGAAAGAAAAAGTATAGGCATCTGAATAATATTAGATAGGAAGCTTAACCCAGATTGGGCAGCAGGGATGGCTTTTCTAGACAGAAGTATTTCTAAGCAGAGATAGCTGGAATTTATAGAATATACATATACTGAGAACATTCTAATAAGAAAAAAATATCATATGTTCAGACCTGAAGGCAAAAAGGAGCATGGCTTACTAAGGGGATTGAAACAAAGATATGCAATTTTATCTGGCTCTTAAGGACTAAGGAACGGGAGAGGTCAACACTAAGGCTAGAGAGGTAAATAGGGTTTGCAAGCCTGGTCTAGAGTTGGGACTTTGACCTAGGGGCAAGGAAAAATAGGAAGAATGACTTGATTCAAACAATGTTTTAGGAAGATACTCCAGTTGCAGGGTGAGGACAGAATTAGAGTCAGGCCAAGAAGGAAAGCAGAGGGATACTTTGTCCCACACAGAGTACAAAGGGAGCTAAAGATTTTTGGGTGGCTCCAATTTCTTTCCATATTGTCGCTACCTCAGTTTCCAGACATGGGGACTTCCTTCTAGGGGTGAAACTTGTAGCAATTCCTTCTCTGACCCTCCCTTTTTCAATCTTTTTTCCCACCCATCCCCACAGTCCTCTGAATCCCTCATAGCGGCTTTCCTGGCCTTTGGCCATCCCTTTCTTGATCCCACTGCCCCATTCTCCCAGAGTGGCAGAGAAGGCCAAGTTAGGACCATGACACTATCATCTGTTTGGCTTCTGGGGTGGCCTCATGGAGCTTTAACTCATGGTGGATGGTGAAGCAGGAACAGGCTCATTACATGCTGAAAGCAGGAGCAAGAGGGTTGGTGGAGGCTGGCTGCGGGGACAGGGAAGTTACCACAAACTTAAACAACCAGATCTTGTGAGAACTCACTCACTATTGCGAGGACAGCACCAAGCCAAGAGGGATCCACCCCCATGACCCAAACACCTCCCACCAGGCCTCTCCTCCAACATTGGAGATTACAATTCAACTAGAGATTTGGCAGGGATATATATTCAAACTATCTTTCTGCCCTTGGCCCACTAAATCTTGTGTCCTCCTTACATTGCACAATATAATCATGCCTTCTCAACAATCCCCCAAAATCTTAGTTCAGCATCAACTCAATCAAAAGCCTGAGGTCCAAAGTCCAAAGTCTCATTTGCAAAGGAGTTCCTTCCACCTGTGCATCTATAAAATCAAATCCCAAGATACAGTGGGTGTACAGGCATCTGGTAAACATTCTCATTCTAAGAGGGAAAAATTGGCTAAAAGAAAGGGGGTACAGGACCCACACAAGTTCAAAACACAATAGGGCAGTCATTAAATCTTAAGGCTCCAAAACAATCTCCTCTGATTCCATGTCCCACACTGAGGGCACACTGAAGCAAGGGGTGCACTCCCAAGGCCTTGGGCAGCTCCACCCTTCTGGCTGTTCCTCACTGAAGTTACAAGCCGCTTGTGGCTCTAACATTCAGGGATCTGGAGGGTGGTGGCCTTTTTCCCACAGCTCTACTAGGCATTGCCCCAGTGGGGACCCTGTGTGGGGGCTCCAATCCCACATTTCCCCTCCACACTTCTCTAGTAAAGGTTTTCTGTGAGTGCTTCTTCTCCTCACAGCAGGCTTCTGCCTGGGCACCCAGGGTTTCTCATACATCCTCTGAAATCTAGGCAGAGGCTGCCAAGCCTCCTTCACTTTGGTACTCTGTGCTCTCACAGGCTTAACACCACATGGAAACAACCAAGGCTTATAGCTTGTGGCCTCCAGCAAACAGTGGCTGAGCTGTACCTGGGTGCCTTTGAGCTAAAGCTGGATCTGGAGCAGCCTGGATGCCAAGAGCAGTGTCCTGAGGCTGTGCAAGGCAGCAGGGCTGTAGGCCTGGCCCACAAAACCATTCAGTCCCCCTAGGCCTCAGGGCCTGTGATGAGAGGGGCTGCCTCAGAGATCTCTGAAATGCCTTTGAGACCTTTTTCCCATTGTCTTGGCTATCAGCACCTGGTTCCTTATTAGTTATGCAAATCTTTCTAGCAAGTGGTTGCTCCACAGCCTGCTTGGATTTCTCTCCCCAAAAAAGCTTTTTCTTTCTCTGCCATATGGCCAGGCTTCAAATTTTCCAAATGTTTACACTCTGCTATCATTTTGAATATAAATTCCAACTTTTAGTCATTTCTTTGCTCCCACATCTGAGTTAGGTTGTTAGAAGCAGCCAGGCCATATCTTGAACACCTTGCTGCTTAGAAATTTCTTCTGCTTGGTACACTAAATCATCACTCTGAAGTTCAAACTTCCACAGATACTTAGGGTATGAACTGAATGCAGCTAAACTCTTTGCTAAGGCATAATATGCATTACTTTTGCTGTAGTTACCAATAAGTTCCTCATTTCCATTTGAGACCTTATCAGCCTGGACTTCACTGTCCTTATCACTATCAGCATTTTGGTCACAACCATTTAACAAGCCTCTAAGAAGTTCCAAACTTTCCCTCATTTTTCTCTCTTTTTCTGAGCCTTTTAAACTCTTCCAAACTCTGTCTTTTATCCAGTTCCAAAGCTGCTTCCCCATTTTCAGTTATCTTTATAGCAACTCTTCTGGAACCAGTTTTCTGTATTAGGCCATTTTTCCATTGCTATAAGTACCTGAAGCTGGGTAGTTTATAAATGCAAGAGGCTTAATTGGCTCATGCTTCTACGGTCTGTACAGTCATGGTGCTGGCATCTACTTGGTTTTTGCGGGGGACTTACTGAGCTTTTACTCATGGTGGAAGGCAAAATGGGAGCAGGCACGTCGCTTGATGAAAGCAGGAGCACGAGAAAGAGTGAGGTGGGGGGTGCTACACACTTAAACAACCAGATCTTGTGAGAACTCACTTAGTATTGTGAGACTAGCACCAAGCTATGAGGGATCTCCATGATCCCCATGATACAAACACTTCCACCAGGCCCCACCTCCAACAATGAGGATTACAATTTAACATAAGTTTTGGTAGGGATGAATATTCAAACTCTATCAACCTCCAATTAACTTTTTAAAAAATAACCCTTTTATGATATGAATATTCCCTTCCACCCCTTTGTATGTCCACACTGAGAGTGGATAGAGAGTGGGATGTCCTATGTGAAGTTGAGGAGAAAAAAAAAATCCTCCAGACACACAACAACATATGAATTAAACTAATGTTCTTAAATAACTAATGTCCAAAATGTACTATTGCATTTTCTATTTCAAAGCCAAAGGCGGAAAACAAAAAAAGCTTCAATATCTTACCAAGTTATGCAAAGAAGAATTTCCCCAACAGTATAAATCTGTGAACTTGTTCACTGAATGATATGAAATAAAAATTCTAAAATTGGGCATTTTATCACCAGATCCATACCTTACTGAGTCACCAGCAAAGGTTAGCTTATGTTTGGACAGGAAAGTTTGCTGTGACAAATGAAGCAGGTTTATCAAATTAGCTGTACTTGGTGGAGTGCCAGCTTAACACAACTTTTTTTTCCCTCACCTCAGCTCTATAAACCCGTGTTTTAGGCTCTTATCCCCTGTGCCTGACCAATATATTAGACAAAGACCACAGCCTTCCAGTGCCTTTCAGATATTGGCACAATCTCATTTTTAGTTATTAAAACATTGCTCCAATTGAATGTCATAATTCCAGTCTCTCAATGCATCCCAGCTCAGATGCAGCCATGAATTCTGCAGTTGAGCCTAGGAGTAAGTAGGTTGCCTCACTGGAGGGACAAGGTTCCCCAACTTGTCCCTCCACAACCCCTTCTTTTCTCATCATGCTGCAGCTGGCTGCCCTAGGATGAGGAAAGGGTGGAGGAATGAGAGTGAAAGGACAAGTTCTTAAGGGACTGGTGCTCTTGCAATATGGAATATGGGCCTTCTGTCATGGCAAATGCCCAAATAAAGTTTCTCTCATGTTGGATTTGAGAATTCCACATTTCCATCTTCACCCTCCCCCTTCTCTAACACAATACTGTTTCCTAACCAAGCAATGCATTTTTTTGGCTAACATTTTCCTTACAATTGTCACTCAACTCTTGCCCCAGTGGTATTCACAGAGGAGCAGGAGTTAGTGTAGCGTTCTTTTCTGATGACTCACACCTGGCTACTTTCCAAGCTATTGCTTCTGGCTTTAGGAAACATTACACTTCTTTTGCCCACAGAATTCTTTAAGGTCTGGCCTCTCCCTTGGCAGCTGCAATCTTTGCTCTGAATTTTGAGCAACTCCAATCCTAGACTCTTCTAGGAAATAATCAATTATGAAGGTCTCGACCAATCACTCTCATATGAACCCAGAGGGTCAGAAACTACTAAGTACTTTGTCCTGTGTTTAAAAATACCTAAATTTCTGCAGCTTACCAAATAACCAGTTGGATGAGAGGATACGTTTTTATGTTTCTGGAAAGCTGAAAAGCATCCCGTTTTCTACAAGTGACTATCTTAAATCAACTACTTCAAAGATTCTTAACATGCCTTGTCATCGGCTTTGTATTCTGGGACAAAACTCCTAGACTATGGGAGAAGTCTCACCTTAACATGTACTTCACAATAGGTGAGTTACAGTAACTTTAGGAGAGCATATTTAGGATGGTGTTGGTGATCCCAGAGCTTAAATGCACATACAAAAACCAAGGTGTACTTTAATCATGAAATTAGTAACTCTGGGTTAAAATTCTCCATAGGGCATCTGGTCCAATTCTACAGGCAATAATTTAATCAATAGTAAAAGAGCTTTAATAAGATTTTTTCCAACTTGGCTTGAATACCCCTTAGAGACAAATAAATCCTTATATCACAAAGCTGACCAAACCATTTCTGTATAGTTCTAAGTGTTGAAAAGTTTGAATTTACATCGAGTCAAAATTTACCTATATGTGAATTTCACACAATTTTTCAAATTTATCATCTAAAAACTCATAAAACTTGACCTGAGCTTGGTTTGACTTTCTGGAAGAGTCAGTGTCTAGGACTGGAGTTACTTGGAAATCAGAGCAAAAATTGCAGTCATAAAGCTCACTTTTCCTGAGTTTGCTAAGCTGCGAAAACTCAGACCTTCTCTCTGAACACAAGGACCAAGTACTTGGGAGTTTGTGTTCCTTAGGGTTTAGGGGTGAGTGAAGTCACTGGTGATTGCCTCTTCCATGGAAGTGTCAGAGTCTAGTATCGGAGTTTCTTGAAAGTCAGATAAAAGATTGAATCGGAAAACTCACTTATCCATATGGTAGCCCTATAGGTTTTTTGAGAACAATGGTCATTTCCCATTTAGACTATTCTTCTTTAAACTAAATTTCCCTCAAATTTTTTCAATTTTTCAATGTATGACAGGTTTTGAAGTTTTCTTACTATTTTGGTGACCCTTCTGTTATTATTTTCCAGTTTTTCCAACATTCTACTTATGGTATGTATGGTAGACAGGATTTCTTTTTTTTTTTTTTTAATATCTAAGAATGTTATTTTCTTTTTTTTTCTTTTTTTTTATTAAAGTTTTAGGGTACATGTGCACATTGTGCAGGTTAGTTACATATGTATACATGTGCCATGCTGGTGCGCTGCACCCACCAACTCGTCATCTAGCATTAGGTATATCTCCCAATGCTATCATGGTAGACAGGATTTCTAATAATGCCAGAAAGAATGAAACAGAAAACCACTTCTGTTAAAAGTTAACTTCAAAACAAGAGTAAAATCATGACTCCTGTAGATATAAAAATGAATACATGTTAAAGATTTCATATAATCAATAAGGACATCAGGCAGGCATTTTTACTGTTTCAAAAAAAATCTAAAGAAGAGATAGATTTATAGAACAGAAATATTGAAAAGAAGGCACAGTTATAGACAAAACTGCTGTCTTGTTTTTGTTTTTCATTGTGGTGGGAGGAGTCAGATAACCAGAAGAGTGGCTGGAGTCTAGATAATGCAAAGTTCTCCACTGAAGCACAGGTATCTTTCCTACATTTCCTTGCTCTAGATACTAGTCTTTAAAATTCACAGGATAATGATAAATATATAACCCAATACTTGATAGTTGTAAAATTGCCATACAGCTTTAAAAAGTTTCTTTGTATTATAAGGTTTAATATAATATGCCAATAAACACTGAGGTTAGTCTTATGTAAAAAAGAGGAGGTGTTGAAAGTTTGCCCTTCTGTGGCATATCTTAAATGATCAATAGTTTGCTAATTGTATCTTCTCTTTCAAGTTTTCAATATTTCATGGTCTCTGGATTTACCAGTTTCAAATTAGTTAACAAATTCAAGTTCACTGAAAAAATACCAACTTAATTCATAAGTCTGCTATATGCATAACATACAAAATAAGTAAAAAATACAGATTTTTGTAGATAAATTATATTTTAGTTGAACAGAACAAGGGGAAGATACATACAAATATATTAAAGACAAAGCATACCTCATTTAAAGGCAAAAAAGCTATTGGATTTTTAAAAATGAGTTAATATGTTAGGTTAGAATAATCAGAAACGACTCAATGAGAAAATTGGATTTTCACAAATTATAACAAGATACAGAGTACTCAAGGAGAAGGAAACAAAAAGTATGGATTCTAGATTAGAATAACTGGAAATATTGCTCAGTCATTCAAGGGTCTTAATTGTCAAGTTAATTAATTTGTATTTAATTCTTAAAACATAACTATTAGAATTTTTAAAAAATGTTATTTACATAATAAGAACAATTCTGTGATTTAATCTAACATAGCTATGAAGGTTAGATTGGAAAGCACAGAGACTTAGATAAGAAGACCACTAGAAAGTAAAATTTATGTGACTTGACAGCAATTTTTTTTTCTTTTGGCTATGGAGCAAGAAGGGATAGGAGTAGAGAAGGGAGAGAAAATAATGAAAGATGATTCCAACTTTTCCAATGTAGGTAAAAATCTCTATTAGCTTCCTAGGGCTGCTATAACCAATTACCATAACTGGTAGCCTAAAACAACATAAATTTATTCTCTAACTGGTCTGAAGTCTAGAAATCCCAAGTCCTGGTGTCAGCAGGGACATGCTTCCTCTGAAAGCTCTAGGGAAGAACCTTTACTAGCCTCTTCCTAGCTGTTGGTGACTCCTGCAATCTTTGGCTCCCTTGGTTTGTAGCAGCATCATCAATCTCTGTCTCTATCTTCACATGGCCTTCTTCTTTGTGTTTCTCTTCTGTATCTCTGCGCATCCACTTCTTATAAGGACACCAGTCATCGGATTTTTAAGACTCACCCTAATCCAGTTTGAGTTCCTCTTGATTCTTCACTATCTGCAAAAACTGTCTCCAAATAATATCACCTTCTGTGGTTCTTGGTATACATCAATTTTTGGTAGACACTAATTCAATCCACTATGGGTAACCTGGAAAAACATGGTTTCATGACTTCGAATAAATGTTCTGCTCTGTTCTCTTAGAAAAGCAGTTATTTGTGAAGGTAAATTCAGATTAAGTTTCGAGGAGCCAGATTTGTGAATGGGAAAGTCTGGAGTAGACCAACTCTTGGCTATTAAATGCAGAGCCAAAGATAATAATAACAATAATAATAATAATAATAAAAGATGGAGTCAGTAGTAAAATTTAAATTATGAAAAAAGAAGACATTCTACACAAAGGTTTGGTCTGAATTAGTGAAGCAAAAAGGCAGAAACCAGGTAAGAAATCAAGTGTCTTGGCTCCCCAGATATTACCAACTCAGTCCATTGCTAAGGCAAAGCTGAGTTTATTGCTTACTCTGTAAGGAGGAATACCACCTCCACAGAGCTTTGGCAGTATCTCAAAGCAGGAGAAGGTGAGGTCATAATTTATTGAAAATGAGAAGTTTGGTTTAAGTTGGATCTTCCAATGCAGGGACTTGATTAGGATCGCATAATGATCACATATAACAGTCAAAGACTGCTGGAAACAGCAACATGAGGATTTTGAAGAGAGGAAATTAAAGAATCTTAGGGCTCAAATTATTGATGCTTTCCATTGAAAAGTTGATAGGTCTTTCAGAAAGTTCTTGGAATTAACAGGCAGATCATTTACCTGTGCAACAGTCTCCAGGGAAAGTAAAATTATGCTAATGAAGACAGTGTAATAGCAAACTCCTGTTAATGTGGACAATAAAGTGTGATTTCTGTTCTCTGTGCCCTTTCTGAGTGTGGAGGTAGACAGTTTCCAGTCTTCACCGGAAACAGAGACACAAAGTCACAGCTAGTATGTATGGAATAAGGAGCTAGAAAAAAAATCTAGGTGAATTCTTTGAGGTGCAGACCACAGAGCCTAAGATAAATTTTTGTTATGCTTTCATTTTATTAAAAAGATGTCTGCAACCTTGGCTAAGGGTTAAAAAGGAGTTGTGAGTGTATACAAATTTTGAAACAGTAATAATAAATCCAAGAAAGAAATGGTAATAAAATTCAGAAATGTAAGGCTTTAGGAAATACTATATTGTTTTATTTAAAAATAAACTGGGTGGTTTCCATGAAGGGTTATGGTAGACATTACTAAAGCTTCCTGATAGCCAATTCTCTTCTTTGTGGATTTGTGAAACACTGTACTTACCAGTCCTCTTTCAAACAGGCAAAGCCATGTGATTAGTTATGACAATAGCTTGTGAGTGGAAATTACTTCCATGTGTCACTTCTGGATGGAGGCAATGAAAATCTGTTGCATGATCCTCCTCATTCTTTTTCAACCACTTAGACTATGGTGGCTATATATGGAGATTCTGGAGCCACAGGATAAATCTAGATCTCTGACTCATTTGGAAGGGAGCTGCCCTGGAGAGCCTTGCAGCTGACTTCCTGTAGGCAAGAAATACACTCCTTCGTGTGTGTGTGTGTGTGTGTGTGTGTGTGTGTGTGTGAATCCAATAGAGTTTTGGAATTTATTTATTCCTGCATTATATCCTATCCTAAATAATACTTGTGGTAATACTATACAGAAAATTTTAAGTGAAATGAAGAAATGATAACAAAGTGGGTGAAAAAAATCATAAATAATTGTTTGAAGGACCTTGATGATAAAGAAAAAAAGGGGAAGGAGAGGTGTTTTCAAGGTTCTAGAAGAAAAAGTACATTTTTCATATTTTATCTAATTTAAAAAAATTGGATGACAGCGTACTAAGACATTCAGAATTAACTTTTCAGATTTTTAGGATCATAAAATTAGCCCTTTCCATCAGATAATGTCACTCTTTACCTTCTGATCCCCAGGACTCATATTAAAATTCATATGTTTGGTGATTTGCCAGGAATTTGACCTTATAGCCAGGAGTTTGATCTCATTGAAACTAAAAGCCTATATTACATCACGTTACTCTTTGAAAAAATGTTCTCTGCCCCTCTATCCTCTAGATTATTGAAATATATTTTGATAGTATTTAACATAAGACATAGTTTAAATTATTTTTAATTTATCATAGACTATTTCCTTGATAAATTGTTTTCATACTTTTTCTATCAATTGCCAGTTAAGTACAATGTGTTCTCATAATTCCAGGAAGTAGTGTTACGGCTGTCAGAAATGATGTGTTGCATAATCAGTAACAGTAAATAGACTAAATCTTTGAAGCCATTCCTGCTGGAAGGTGTATAAGAATATCCACTGGAAAGTGCCAAAGTATACCTGCCAACAACTGAAGCCTAGGAGTTGAAAGAATTAGGGAGATAAATAAGGAAATGTG
Organism: Homo sapiens; assembly: GCF_000001405.40. Lineage (NCBI taxonomy): Eukaryota > Metazoa > Chordata > Mammalia > Primates > Hominidae > Homo > Homo sapiens. Next base: position 157,004,912 of record NC_000004.12, read on the forward strand.
CTATAACTGTCTTGAAATATTGAAATGTTAGACTGGGAGGGCATTGTGAAAGTACACAGTGATCTCTTGTTTTATGTGGCAAAGTGTTCTGTTGAGGAGAAAAGTTATCTACGATTAACCCACTTTTACTGCTAAGTCCTGAGAATGTGTTTTGTAAAAATGTGTCAATATGAGAGAAAAAGAACGCTCTGCTAATCAAAGCCCAGTGTATGGTAAGTATTCAATACATTTTTGGTAATAAAGGAAGTAAAAATGAAATAATATAGTCACTGAGCAGTTGGTCTAGAAAATGAAAACTTATCTTTTAGTATCATTTAGAAAAGGCTTTCCTCTAGAGTTCTTGTCTTCATTGTAAAAGCTTGGGCTGTTAGTGGATAATCTCTCCTGGAGAAAAACGGAGCCAGAGTGTTAGGTTGAGGCTCACGTTGTAAATAACTGAGCTGGATTTGGGAATGGGAATGTGGGTCACATGAATGGTGACAGTTGGCTTAAGTGGCTGAGCCAAGTTGGGACTATGATTTGAGTGACAGTCTTGGGAAGAAGCCAAAGCAGAAATAAGGCAGATATCCAAAAGAATCACCAGACATTCTCCCTGAAAATGAAAAGAAATTAGGTTAAGGCAATGGAGCAGAAAATAGGAAAAACCTAAGAGAGAGGATGAATACTGGGACCCAGACAAATTCTTGGAAATGAAGAGTAAAAATTGCAATCACTTCTTAGAAGGTAAAGTAAATGTGCTGTGGCAGAGACTGCTAGCACTATCCTTACTTCGTTGGTATTAACAACCTTACTGCTAGATGGACATATTGCAGTCCAGGAAAAATTGAGGACATGCCTCATCCTCTCTTGTAGCTAGTTAAGGCTGAGTGCCTAAATTTTACCCAATAAACTGTAGTAAAAATGGTTGTGTGACACTTAGAGAAAATATACTTAAAAATACGTAATTCAAAGAAAATAGACTTTAAAAACACACACACACGTTGTACACAAAACACACACACACACACGCACACATGCACATACACAAACACACATATTCCCTTACAATACAAAATACAAAATAAAAATAAAATACAAAATAAATAGAAAAAATAAAACATATTTTAAATTTTTATTTATTTAAATTTTATTTTAATTTCATATTTAAATGGTTATTTAAATATTAAAAAAATACAAAAAAAATACAAAATAGAATAGCTATGACAAGCTCCAGCAACCATTTTGGATCATGGGTCTGGAGAAGGCAGAGTAGAAAGTAAAATGAACTTAGGTCTATAAGGACTTCATGAAGTTTCCATTGCTAACTCTGACTTGCTTATCTCTGGATCTGTTTTACTTAAATATATATCTATATCTATATCTATATCTATATCTATATCTATATCTATATCTTATTCAAGCTTCTGTTATTTGATTCTATGTTACTAGAAATACAGAGCCTGATTGACCTGGAGTTACAGCTCCATTTTTGTCTCTAAAAATGGAGTTGCCTTGAATATAATAGAAATTTTATAGAAATTTCTATATATAGAAATATAATAGAAAATTTTCAGAGACACATCTAAGTGGGAGCTTGACAAACACTGATAGTGACTCACAATGCTGAGCACTCACTAAGGCGCTACAATACTTGAAATTTTTAATTGGTTTTGTGTCACAGTGCAAAGCAGAATGTATTTTGTAATGGTAGTTTTTTAATATATTTTGGTGAATTGATGATAATCATCCTATGATTTAGATAGCAAGAAACTTTGACCAACCCTCTAGTTTTTCAGATAAAGAGACTGATTAAGATCTTGACCAAAGGAAGATAAAAATCCAATTTATAGTAGAAATGAAACTAGCAACTAGGTATAGTGATTTTCACTCTATTATCTTTCTATTCTATTGCAATGCCAGTATATCAAAAGGGACAAAATTGTCTTTGCTTTTGTCAAGATGTAACTGTATAAGGGCTCTCACTGACCACAGAGACTGTCTGGTATATATTTTGAAGGCCTAAAAAGTTCTCCTTTGAAAAACACAGAGTAATTAAAATTTTTGAATTTTTATTTTGGGAAGTTTATCTTTTTAACTTATTATTTATTTATTTGTTTATTTTATTTATTTATTTTGTTGGGGGGACAGAGTTTGGCTCCTGTTGCCCAGACTGGAGTGCAATGGTGCAATCTCGGCTCACCTCAACCTTCGCCTCCCAGGTTTAAGCGATTCTCCTGCCTCAGCCTCCTGAGTAGCTGGGATTACAAGCATGTACCATCATGCCCAGCTAATTATTGTATTTTTAGTAGAGATGGGGTTTCTCCATGTTGGTCAGGCTGGTCTTGAACTCCCAACTTCAGGTGATCCGCCTGCCTCAGCCTCCCAAATTGCTGGGATTACAGGCGTGAGCCACCACGCCCAGCTATTTTGGGAAGTTTCTATAATTTACATCCCCACCAGAACTATACTTTCATACTGACCTTAAAACACAAATAGCACCCCATACTAATATGTTTAAAAGTTTTTTGCTAGTGTACAGAGCATCTAGATGATTCTAACATATATGCAGAAATCAGAAGTGGATTCAGATTTTGTGCAGACCTGGACTTATACAATTTGGAGGCATTCTCTTTAAAAGAAAACAAAATTACAAAAATGAAACTGGATAATAAACTCCATTTTTGTATAGAAAGAGAAAAGAAATCACATGAAACATAAACTTTTAAAAAGTGACAAATTCCACAAACATTATACAATTGAGAAAAATAATACACTATTTTAATAAACTGACCATCTGACACATCCTTCTATTAAATTTCTCCTACATTAATTTGATGTATAGCTAAATTCACCTCTTCCTGTGACTCAATTTTGTAATAACACCTGCTAGAATAGAGAAATAATTATACAGAGAAAAGAGAAATTGCTCATTTTTTTCTATAGCATGGTGGGTCAAAGTTTACTTATTATTGGTGGGTTAGAAATGATGTTTCAGTTTTTCAACTTGTTATTGGCAATATGTTGTAAATTTTTAGGATTGTGATAACATTGAAGGAAACCTCCATCTTGTTTATTTCAAATGTGAACTGTATGATTTCAGGACATTTCAACTTTTCTTGTGCCGTGACTCATTTTCACCAGAATGTCAAAGTCATTCATTGACGTGTCAACGCTTTTATTGTAGCTGCATGATGTGAGTTGCATATTACTTTGTACTAATGTTAGTTAGTGTTTCATGTTAAATCAACAAGAAATTAATAAGACCATGAATAGCTATGACATGGGCAAACTTATTTTAGGCCAAAGAAAGAGCATTAACAAAGTCATGGTCTGGCAATTGTAAGGCACCCAGTTAGAAGAGAACATGTGTAGAGTAGGGCGCCACTGGGTGATTCCATCAGAAAAGTGTGTTGAAGCCAAATTGAGAGGTGGAACGTAGTATCAAATGCCGGTAAATAGTTGTGAACAGACTGTATTGCCTGTAAGTTAAGTAACTAAAGGCCTGTTAGTAGATCACAAAGACAACAAAAGGTAATATAATGCACTGTTAAGATCATGAGAAAGTGAAAAACTGGCTCAGCTGGCAGACCATCCATGGTGTTCCTAACTCACATAAACAATGCTCAGACAAGAAAAGTTGACTCTGCAACCATAAAAGGGACTAAACAGCCCCCTGTTCTGATTAACATGAGAGATTGCAGCTTCTTTACAAAGGCAATTGTATCTCTGCTTTAATTCTTCCGGCTTTTAGATAAAAGTATTAAGATACCTGGGATCTATCGCAGTGTTCACACCGAAACCACATTTTCCCTGGGATACCCTCAGTCAGTGACTGAATGTGGCAGAGGCACTGGAGTTGAGATATTTCTGCCTGATGTGAAGCCCTTCTGATAGACAATGCAATTTCCCCACTGGCCTGGCCAAGATTTTCTCAAAGCAGCACTGCAGTCAGAGGTTCTTTCTACCCAATCCTCCTGCCAATCTCCTTTCACAAATGTCAGACCAACAGAGTAGTCTGTAGGCTCTCACTGCCCACTCCTGCTTCCTCTTTTCTTTATTTTTTCATGATGTTTCTTTTAATAAATTTCTTGCACTTCTAATTCCAACTTGGTGTCTGCTTTCTGAAGGACCTAATCTGATGCAGTTAGTGTTGAACATGGACTGAGAGAGCAGGAAGAAGGATGAGGGTCTGTGGACCGATCATTCATTGCCTAATTGGTATAAAGGATACTGCCGCAAGTGGTATGAGGGTTGCAGATAATTATTGGCACAGGTTGGTGGCCCGACATCTGAATATTTCACCAGAGGTTACATGGGACATGTCCTGGCCATTGTGGTGATTCTGACATTTAAAATATTTGGGGGAGTAGTGTATATGTAAACACGGATGTGGAAAATATTCCCAATGTGTGACACTTTGAGTGGTGAAGCTGGGCCTCCACTTTTGTGGAAAGAGAAGTACCCCAGAGAAACAAGGCATGAAAACTTTCACCAGTGGCTAATGTCCTGGCCAGAAAAGTACTGGAAAGAAAAGTATTAAAAAATCAGAGATAGAGAAATGGGTGGTAGAGGCATGTAGGTGGGTATATAGGAATGGGCATGAAGTGTGAAGATATTTTGAAAAGCACACATTTGTGCCCACCAGAAAGCATCCACCATGGAAAAGGCACTGAACAATTATGTGAGCCAAGTGACTTGACCAGACTTTGTCAACAGCCATTCAAGAACTGGCACAATGGACTCACAGATAAGGTGAGCATCATGGCAGAAATGGAAAATATGCATGTGCCCAAACTGTACAGATTCTCACTTACCAAAACTAACCTACTGCTGCCTCTGAATATCTAACTTGCCAGCAATGGAGACTGATGCTGAACCCCCAATATGGCACCGTTTCTCAAGTAGAACATGCAGATGATTTTCCACCATAGGTGGAAGGCCCCATCATCTTTGAAGGGCCAGAATTCATCCTTATGGAAATAGCTACCTATTTTGGGTAGAGGTTTTTTTTCCCGCCTTCAGAGTCTTAGCCAACGTCACTATTTGGAGGCTTACAGAGTACTTGATCCACGGGTAGTAAATCTCACAACACATATCATCCGACCAATGAAGGGAAGTTTGACAGTAGGCCCATTTTTTATGGAATCCACTGATTGTATCACATAGCACACAACCATAAGCAGCTGGCCTCATAAACTCCTGGAATGGCTTTTTGAATGTGTATCTGAAGTGTCAGCTTACAGGCAATAGTCTCCAAGGGAAGTGTTTCACCCTCTGGGATGCAGTATATGTGACAAATTAGAGACTTCTTGCTATGGTGTGAATGGTTGTCCCCTCTGAAACTCATGTTGAAATTTTATCTGCAATGTATCAATATTAAGAAGTGGGGACTTTCGAAGTTAATTGGGTGATAAAGGCCTACCTAGGACCTGGGAAGAGAGAAGCTGAAAGATTGTTTTTAGGAAGCTTTGTTATATGGCGTGTGGCCACCCCTTCAGTAAGATCTATATTATTATTAGAACTTTTGGAATTTGATATGCTTATATTTGTTTGTTTAGTAATGTCACAGCACAGCCAAGGTTGGCCCAGTGACATTCAGTTTTCACATGTATGCATGTATATGAGAAGAGTGGAATAGTGACAAGATAGTGTGTACGCTTACTTTGTGCAGGCATGTTAAAATTGCTTCACATGTATTATCTCATTTCACTCCCACAACAACTGTCAAAATTAAAAAATTACTCTTATTACCACCATTTTAACAAGTAAGAAATTGAGATAAAGAGTTTTCCTAATGTGCCCAGCATCACACAGCTGTTAAACAGTGCAGCAAGTATTCAACTTTAGCTTGACTCTGGAGCCTGTATTACCTATGCATTACTTGCAAGAAGATAGAGAAACACAGCAGGAATACATCCTTAATGCAGAGAAGTTCTGAATTATCACGTGCTCATGATAAGATCTACTCTACTAATCTGCTCTATTACAGGGACATGCATCACAAATTAAATGAAGCAGGGAGGATTATGATATTCTTTATGTGAATTAGTTCTGTCTTTCTCTTCCCTAAATATAAATCTCAGCACTCCGTGTGAATTCAGGAGCTTTGGAGGCAGACAAGGCCTGAGTGTGAATTTTGGCATGTTAGTAGCCGTGAGAACTGCAGTGAGATATTATTTCCTTGTTCTTAAAACTACTGATAATAGTATTTATTTTACAGGTTGTATTTATGTTAAGATAATGTATATGAAAAGGTCTAGTGTATCTATAATAAGGGTTCAATATATTTCACTTTTCTTTCCTTCTTTACCAGGAAATTGGCTAACATCACTTTCCTAAGATAAAATAAAGATGCATATTGGTTTATTTCAAAATTTATATTTCCTTAAATAATATAATATTTTTATTCTGAATATTAATAGATTGGATCTTTTTGATAAATAATTTTTCATATTGAGGTGATGACAAAAGCACTGTATAATAGAAAATAATTTGTTCAAGCATTGGGAGTATCTTAATATAGAACTTTTTCTTGTGATTTCCATAAAAATATGAATAGCTTATTTCTCTTTTAAGAGTTAGTAATTTGATTTGTAGATCTTTTCTACTTCTTAATGCAAGGCTTGTTGCTTTTTTGCGTTCCACCAAAACCAAAAATATGTGACTTTTCAGTGGCCATGATGCCTGTGGAATAATATTATCCTCTAACTTAAAAATACCCAGTAGAAAGATCTTTATTTACTGATTTTTATTAGTTCATTCCATTCCATGAATGAGAATATAAGCTTTTGTATCACTGCTCCAAATAGGCATTTTTACATGAAAAAAATGCATAGTTTTAGTTAGAAGTCTAATTTTAGGGAGCTCTCATCTATAAAACTGTTGTTTTCTTTTTTAAAAAAAAAATAAGTTACTGCGAATCACAGAAAAATAGCTACATAGACAGCAAACTGTTAGTAGATGCCAATAAAAGTATTTACTTATTGCCATTCTATAAAATAAGACATTTTTGCATAAAAATAGTAAATTTCATTGCAACAAATTAGGAATGCAAATTTATTTTTATGAACCATTTATATCAGTATTAAATATTAGTCTCATGTATTTTAATAAATTGGTAAGAAGTCTAGAAAAAATTAGGAATGCAAATTTATTTTTACAAACCATCTAAAGCAATATTAAATAATAGTATCATTTATTTTAATAAATTGCTAGAAGTCTAGCAAAAACCTAGAATAAAAACAAAAATTCATATAATACATTGTTTAGCAGATATTCATCAAAAGAATATTATAAGATTATCCAAATAAAGATTTTGATGCAAATTTGTGTTTTCTATTTATGAAAAAAATATTTGATATCAAGAGAGTCAGCCTATGATTATAATTTATTAACAATTTAAAAATAAAAAAGAGCAAGGCCTGCTATTAACAAAAAAAAAAAAAAGAAAAGTTAATTAAACTTGTCATTTGGTTACACAAATTATGAAGATAAATGATCATTCCTCTTTGGCTATGAAGGAGTAAGCTTCTGATGTAAGAAAATTCTCTCCTGGTTTCTCATGAATATTTCACTAGCAGAGGCTCTGACAGCTTTTATATTGGATTATCTTTTCACAGATGTTTATACAGCAAAAGGCCTTGGAAAATAGAGATAGTGTCTCCCACTGGGATGGAGAGCAGATTTGTTTGTTGTCCACTATAATAATAAAGTTAATGTCTCTCTCCCAAGCAAAGGTTGTGTGCAGGTGTGCTTTCAGTCTTACAAATAATTAGAATGTCTTAAACCAGAGAATCTTTTCTTATAACACCACCCACCCTGTGTGCAGGCACCACTGGCTTTAGTCACACTGACCTGTGGCAACTGGGGCTCATGGAACTGGGGCAGGAAAATGAGGATACTTAGGCTATGGCTATTGCTGTGAGTAATAAACTTTCTTTTCTCTGACCAAGAAGGACTGTGTCTTCTGCACATCCATGAAACTATGGCAACCTAACATAGCTTGCAAGCAGGATAAAATCTCAAATCTTTCACAATTTTTGACTCTACTACATATTGCTTAAGGACCTAGATACTGTCAGCTACATAGCAATGAAGCACTTTTATGCGCCTGAAATAACTGATAACAAATAATTGTGGTAAACAGGTATGTGGGAAGGAATTCCTGACTGCATAAAGAGTTATGAGAAATCATCTTCCCATTGGTTTGGGATAGGCCAAAATTCATGGAATCCTTAGAATGTTTCTAGCAGCAACTCAAAGAAAAACCACTTCGTAGTGGCTGAGAACACAGTCCTGATATGAAAACTTCCTATGCTGTAATCTAGTGTGAAAAGGTAAGCTGGGCCAATCACGGTCTTTCTCTCAAGATTTTGAATGCGAACCAGAATCAGGTAGCAGCAGCTGAAAGGATTAAGAGAGAGATGCCATGAAAATCTCGTCAGAACCATGAAGATCTTAGGCAAGTCAAACTTTTGAGGAAGAAGAATGTGAGTAAATAGGCAGAAAATAAAGCTTCTCTATAATTTTATAAAGTCTAAAAGTTGGCAAGAGGAGAAAAGTGCAAATGGACAGAAAGCAAGAGAGAGGTGATGAAGCCATGTGCTTGAGAGAAACAGGTAGAGAGACAGGAGATGGCCATCTTGGAGCTGCTTGAACTGACTGATTTTCAACTTCAATTTATGCTCTTGTCTGTGTGTATTACCACAGTGAAACCCGTTTCTCGTTGTATGGTCCCAGTGAGTTTCAGTAACAACAAAGCTCTAAAGAGATCATATCTTTTGCCAGTCATGCTAAGGTACTACTCTTTGTTCCCAGCTTAATTCTAAATCCTAAACAGAAAAAAAAAATGGCCATGGCCATGAAGTATCATACATATATACCGTTAAAAGAAAAACTGCAGCCCAGTTAAATGTAAAGGAGTGTAATTGAGCAATGAATGATTCATGAATCAGGCAGCCACCAGAATCACAGCAGATTCACAGAGACTCCAGGGATGCTTTGTGATCAGAACAAATTTATAGACAAAAAAAGGAAAGTGACATACAGAAATTGGCAGTGAGGTACAGAAATAGCTGGATTGGTTTCAGGTTGGCGTTTGCCTTATTTGAACACCGTTTGAACACTTAGCAGTCTATGAGTGGTTGATGTATGGCCGCTGGGATTGGCCAAGACTCAGCTTTTGTTACAGGCTCATACTTCCAAGTTAGGTTTTCAATCTTGTCTACCTATTAAGCTAGGTTACATTTTGTCCACAAGGACTCAAATATAGAAGTACGGAGTCCTTCTCAGGCCATATTTAGTTTGCTTTAACAATACTAATATACGTGACTTACAACTGGTAATTCTCAAATATAAATTATTATGTATTTTTGCTTTTTTTCCAGATGATCATCTTAGACATTTAAAATAAGTGATTAAAAAGAACCTTCTATATACCTAAAATTTCGCAAAACTTTTCCTCCAAATACACAAAAGTTTCCAGAAGTCATCTTTTTGTTCTCATGATACCAAAACAAAAATGACATTTAAAATCTATAATTAAAAGGTATTTTAAGGGCTTGGTTGATTCATTCATTCATTTCTACATACATTCATTCACTAACTCATTTAACAAACACTTCTTAGGGTGCCTTTTGTACACTAGGGCATAGCAGAAAGAAAAGAGAAATATATAAATAAGAATAAGATATAGGCTTTGCTTTCTGAAAGTTCACAGTCTTTCTTTAGGGTCAACGAGAACAAAATATCACAGCACAGTAAATTTGTGGAAGCAGAGAGGAGTCTGACCTACAGCAGGGTTATTATGGTGAATAATTTCAGGGGGCACCATTCACTCAGAACCCAAGACATTCTATATATTCCTTTTATGCAATATCTTCTATGAGAACAGTACTACTAGGAATTGAGCAATGTTGTGATCCTGATTTAAAGCCAGGAAAATCATCACACAGAAGGAAATACTAGAGCTGGATGTTGGAGTTGGTATCGTATAGGGAAGGAAAGCAATCAAGGCATAAGAAACAAACTACGTTCTGGATACGGCTCGGCACTCATTCTTACTTCCATGTGCATTCGGGACCTATGGGGGGCAGAGAGGTCAAAAGCCGTGTTTCCTACACTTTCTGGTAGCCAAAGTCTGGATGCAAAGTAGGCTATGCTAATTAGATGCATTCCTGTGAGATTTGGAATGTGGCTGTGTGGTAGGAACCTTGTATTCGGTGCTTTTTAACTAGCAAATAATGCGACAGAGATTTTTGAGTTTAAAGAGAGTTAGGGTTTAAAGTAGTAGCTAGACTTAATGTTCCAGCGTCTATTGTAGCTAAAGGCAGTCATAGTAATTGCAGGAGACAGAATCAGCATACCTGGCTCTAGCTGTCAGCATCAAGTGTGTCTCTGAGCTCATTGGTCCAGTAGCAGTCCCATGACTCCCTCTGCACCCGCCCTTCTAATCAACTTATAAGAATTTCATTTCCTATGATAGATCCCTTTCTGCTTGCAGTGCCTGTTTCCTACGCTAAACTCTGGCTGATACAGCATGCTCAAAGGCAAGGAGATATAAAAAACATCTTGTGGTCAGGGAATGACTCACTGCTAAGTATGTTAGAGCCAAAGATGGACAGTGGTAGAGAAAACGGATGGAAGAATAAGGTTTGCAAAGATTGTAAAGAGTTTTTCAGTTCTGTTTCTTGCAAACACTTGGCTTCTGGCAGATTGTCATTAGATGTTTGTTATATGGAATTGTATTTAAAATCTTTAGAGTATGGCCTTTTTCCTATAGGTAATCGAGTCGGTGGGGTGAAGAAGTATTGAACATTTTACTTAAAGAAGTAGCATGATGAGATTTGTGCTTCTTCTTTATAATTCTCTATGGGTTACCCACAGAAAATGGGAAGGAGGTAGAAGTGGCTAAAGACAGAATCTATCACAGATTTTTCTGTAGCTTATGATGCTACTGAAAAAGCAGTTTACAAATTTGGTCACATTTTATGCTAAGTTTATTATGTGATTTTACAAAAAGTAACTAAAAACATTAATATCACACTGGGTAATATTGAGAATCTGATAAAATTTTAAAATATTAATCAAGTTTACATAAGTTTAAAACTATGAGGCAGAGGAAATTGTAAACTGTGTTGGCTTTATCGTCACACAGTGGCACCAATTTAGCAGGCAAACAGACATGTCTTCCACCTATGTTTAGTCAGTATTGTGTGAATTTATTTATGGGTTTCTGTCTTTGAGTGATTTTGAGATATTGGGCTGTATTTTACCACACAATGTTATTACAATTCAGGATTTTCAAATATCCTTTAGCACTGTCACCTGGAGGTCATTTGTAGTGGTGGCATTACTGCAGTAACTGAAAAATCTACCTTAAACTTTCAAATGGAGGTTAGAGGTGAGGAAATGCCAGAATGAATTTATTTAGAAAAGCAAACTTTAAGATATTAGACAAAGATTGAGAAAATAAAAAGCAACTTTTAAGCAAAAATGTGTTAAAATTGGTGGAAAGCTATAACATCCTCCAATGTTATATTGTAAATATAACTTATTTACAATATATTATATTATATTATTATATTATATTGTAAATATTATATTATATTGTAAATATTTTCTTATTATATTTTAAATATATATTATAATATATAATTATATATTATATTGTATACATTATATTATAAATTATATACAATTTTATATTGTACATATTTTTATATTTATATAAAATATATATTATTATATTGTAAATATTTTCTTATATGTCTGTGTGACAGGAAAACACTGTGTTCTTTATTAACCCATTTAATATAGCAATATAAAAAGATTCTTCTGGCAATATAGAAAGATTCTATTTCCCACCCTCCTTTCTAGTTAGGTTGGGGCCATGTGATGTACACAGCTACTAGGCTTGTACCTTCAAGTAAAACACCATATACAGTGTTGTACATTTTACCTTCATTTTCTGCCTTCTCCCCCAACTTTTTTTTTTTTTCCCAAAAGACCACATGTTGAAGCTAGAGATACTAGCTAGAAAGACCCTGAATTTCTGAGTCACCGCATGGAGGCAAGCTTCTCTTCAACAAATTTCACCCCCTACCACATATACATCAATCCACATTAGAATGTGATATAAATTGGAAATTGACTTCAATATTGTTCAGTTGCTGAGATTTTGACTGTTACAGAATTAAGCCTACTTTGGATTTAAAGTACCACTCTGTCTCATTAACATCTGTGTGCTCCCTGAGGTCAGAGGTACTGCTATTTAACTCTATCACATTTTCTTCATTAAATCTGGGACAATGCTTAGCATATAGTAAGTACTTCATGTATGAAGAACAAATGAATGAATGAGTATTCTAGGCAAGAGATAATTAGCACCTATAACTAATGCAATGGCAGAAGGCAGTTTAAGGGTAAATAAAGATGTCTTCAACTTAAAAAATATTTTAAAAGAGAATATTTACTTTTTATAATATTTAAAATTATAAAATACTTTTAAAATATATTTAAGATAATATTCTTTAGAAAACAAACCATATATTTTTAAATATAAGACTTTTAAATACATAGTAAATATAGTGTCAGTTTTCACACAACTTCTTTTTAACTTTTTTCCTGAATAAATCCAGAATTGTTTTGAAATAAAAAGTAATGTGTCATGAAATTTATTTTCATGCATAACTTTTGCAATTAGTTGAATTAATTTTAAATCATGATGCCATTTGTTGTAACCTAATCACTTCACAGCTGTATGGTCTTAAATTCTTTTTCTTACATCAATAGACTTTAATTTTTTGAGTTTTAAGTTTGCAGAAAGTAAACTTAAAGCTTTCTGTAAAATTTCTTATGAGATGAGAATCTAACTAATGCCTGATGATCTGAGGTGGAACAGTTTTATCCCAAACCATCTCCCTCCCAACCCCACCCCAGGTCCATGGAAAGATTGTCTTCCACAAAATCAGTCCCTGGTGCCAGCAAGGTTGGGTACTGCTAGTGTGGTACATTTGTCATAATTAATGAACCATTTTTGATCCATTGTTACTAATTAAAGGCCACAGTGTACATTAGGGTTCACTCTTCGTGTTGTAGAGCGTGTTGTGTCATAACTGTATAATGACAAGTTTCCATCATTACAGAATTATGCAGAATAGTTTCATTGCTCTGTTTATCCACTCATTCCTCCTTTTCCCTGAAGCTCTGGTGACCACTGTCTCCATAGTTTTGCATTTTCTATCATGCCATATGTTGGACTTATGCATTATGCAGCCTTTTCAGATTGGCTTCTTTTATTTAGCAATATGCATCTGAGGTTCTTTCAGGCTTTTTCATGGCTTAATAGTTCATTTCTTTTTATTGTTGAATAATAGTCCATTGAATGGGTGTATCACCATTTATTAATCCACTCACATGTTGAAGGACATCTTGGTTGCTTCCATGTTTTAGCATTTATGAATAAAGCTGCTATAAATATTCATTGCAGGATTTTGTATAGACATAGTTATCAATTCATTTGGGTAAATGCCAAAGAGTGCAATTTTTAGATCATACATATAAGTATGTTTACTTTTAGAAGAAACTCGCAAACTGATTTCAAAAGCGGCTGTACCATTTTGCATTTCCAATAGCAACGAATGGGAGTTCCTATTGCTTCACCTCGGCACTCGGTGTTGTCAGTGCTTTCGATTTTAGCCATTTTATTATAGGGGTGTGTGGTGCTCCTTCTTAAGTATTTATCTCATGGTACTATTCTGTCATTTGTTTTTAGGCAAAGGTCTTCCTTCTTACTTATGAAAAGTGGAAGAAAATAGTAGAGAATTGAGGTTTACATTGGAGAATCCGAGACTAATGTATTTGAGTCTTAGATCACCCTTGAATCTTAGACTTGACTTTGATTTATGCACCAAGAGGAGATTTCAGATGAAGATTATATCCCTAAGAATCAGAATTCTGTGCAATTTACTTCATCTTCCCTCTCTAGAATTTTCTGGCTGGCATCCCAGGGCAGGTCCAACTGCTGTGATGAGTGAATGAAATGACATGGTGCCCCTGAAGAAATGAGAGATGGTCCCAACCCTCGTAATGGTCCCTGTCTTTGTCTTCATAGTAGTTATACCCCTCCTTATGAATTTAAGCTTGTTATAAAATGAACAAGCAGACAACTGACATGAGCAGCTGGTATAAAATTCCTTTAGAAGCATTGAATCTTTTACCCTTCTCCCTACAGTTATGAAATCTGACAGACAGATAACATAATAGTCATAGAATGGCTGAATTATAGGACACACGTATAAGGCTAATGGCACTGATACAGTTGCTTATTGCAGACTGCCAAAGATCTGTTAACATTCTGAAATGACTATCAGGTGCTGAGTGATATTTTTAAAGGTGCTGAGACTGGATAAGCCAAATTCTTCATCAGAGAAGCACATTGTGCCTTTGTTCACACTTTCCTTTCAGCAGTAGGCTTTGGGATGACTTCTCTAAGTCTGACTGGTGTATGTAAATATTATCCAAAGGATAAAAGCTAAAAATTTATATAACTCGAAAGAATTCCAAACTTTTCCACTAATGATGCTGGGAAGAAAGAATGCAGGTTTGATGGTTGAAGAGATTTTACTTTATACCTGGTTCATGTTATAGAAAAATGTATTTCTTAAATGGAAAGCCAAGGTAAACCTAGTTGATAGGCAGATTGACAATATTATGGTAGTACTAAAAGGCAACATATTTGCCAAATATACTTCAGTGTAGCACTATACGGACTAGAAAAGGTTGAAGTTTGTCCAAAGATGAGATAGATTCAGTTTTATATGTTTTGATAGTGCAGGTAAAGAAATTATTATCACTTCCCACTGCTATCCTGAGTCACATATAACTCGTGTTATACAGACCTAAATATCTTACTGCATGCTCACTTACTTCAGGATATGTGCTAGCAGTAAGAAAATTGGGACAGTATTTTAATAAAGAAATTTCTGAAGAGCAAGGAGTAGATAGGCTTTAGCTTTATTTCAAAATAATAACTAGTTATTTAAACTATTATTACAAATATTACGTAAATACTGGAAGCATAAAGGCATCTAATCATTAGTCACATAATATGGATACTTCTATATCTTCACTTCTTTTCATTGATTGACATCATAGTTAAACCAAAATGTTTAGCAACTGTGGTAAACTGTATTACCCGTCAACAAATATTCCATCTTCTCTTGCTACTGAGATAAATGTACTTTGCTATCCTATCAGTGTTGAGCTTTATTATATGGCTTGCTTTGGCCAATAGAATGTAGGTAGAACTAGCACGTTGACAATTCTGGACTTTAAAAGACATTACCAGGTCCTACTATCTTGTGGAGCACATCTGAATCCAATTCAATTCACGGCCTGAGCACTGCTGCAGCTCACAGCTAGAGCCAATAATGATCAATATGAAGAAGACATAAGTAATTGTAATATAAGCCACCGAGATTTTGAGATTGTTTATTTTTCTTTGTGTTATGGAGACTAATTTACAACTAGAAATAACAGTACCTAGAAATGAAGTGTTTTTCACAATGACAACAAAGAAATTGAGTGTTCGAGTACTAGATTGGGGCTGGTTTGTGTGGTAAGGAAACTTACAGGAATCTGGAAAAATGACAACCTATGGTAGGCAATCAGGAAATATTTGGCAAAACTTTTAAGTGCTTTTGAATATATGAGAGACTACGCGTGCACTTAATGTGTTTGGTGTTTGGAGTTTGTTGCCATTTGCTCTATTTCTAAAGCTAATACACAAAGGACAAGCTCAGATATGAACTATAATGTTTGTGAGAACGGAGGGTTATATAGAGAGTCTAAGCAATTTTGGAGGACTGGAGAATGAAGTAGTCTCTCATTTCCGTTAGTAAAAGATAAAATTGAGAAATCCCTTGAGCCATAAATATGGATTACTATTCAAGACACAACCTCAGAGCAAAAACAAATCAAGGTGCGTGCCAATCACACATTTCTTTAAAACTTCAGATTGTGGCCTCCAATAATTCCTTTCAGTTGGAAAAAAGTGGCTGAGGAAAAGTGACAAAGGACTTGGTCCCTGAGAGCATTGATAAGCAAGAAGTACTTGTAATTAAGTCTAGTGACAGATACCTGGCTCAAAAAGAATTTTGGTATGACTACAGGCCTAGAATAAAGAACATAAGTCAATAAACTTTCTGAACAAGTTGGATTGCTTAATACTACTGCTAGCCTGGATTTTTTTTTTTTAAAGAGTATCACTATATTAAACACAAACTGACACTTGTGTGCCAATTCCATGGCCAGGAGGCAGGCTGAGAAAGCATCCCAACCACCCTAAATGTCAGAAACCCCAATGGCCTCTTAAGATCTGACCGAAGAACTAAAGAGGAAGGGCTTCCCAGAAGGTGGTTCCAAGAGCCATGGAGAAAATAGACTGAGGAGCCATTCGCAGGAAGACAAACTGGGGCCTAATCACAAAAACAGGTGCTATCTTCAGTACAGAGGATGTCTGCAACATTTGCCCAGCAAGGTTTCAGAATTTCATGAGCCAGTGACTGCTCTGCATCTCCCGCTCTTCCTATTTTCAGATGGAGTGTTTATTGTGATTCACCTGCTTTGTCTTACAATTGTATTTAGGGTATATGTGAGGGTAGATAACTTGTCTTTATATTTCATCGGTCTCAAAATCAAACAGACTCACACTAAGACTTGATGCAGAGACTGTCATGAGATCATGTACTTACATCCTGGTGCCATGATTAGATGAGACTTTCAATGTCTTCTGTATTAGCCCATTCTTGCACTGCTATAAAGAAATATCTGAGGCTGGGCAATTTATAAAGAAAAGAGGTTTAATTGGCTCATGGTTCTGCAGGCTGTATAGGAAGCATGATGCTGGCATCTCCTTGGCTTCTGGGGAGGCCTCAGGAAAACTTACAATTATGCCAGAAGGCGAAGGGGAAGGCAGTTCATGGCCAGAGCAGTAGCAAAAGAGGAGGGGAAGGCGCTACACACTTAAAACAATCAGATCTCAACAGAACTCTATCGTGATAACAGGGCTAGGGGAATGGTGCTAAACCATTTATGAGAACTTGACTGAATGATCCAATCACCTCCCAACAGGCCCCACCTCCAACATTGGGGATTACACTTCAATGTGAGATTTGGGCACAGACATAGACCCAAACCATATCACCTTCCTTTTGAGCAGAAGTAGTGAGTCAATTATGTACATGAAAGGAAGCAAGAGAACATGACAGATGGAGGTTGATTGCATTATTGTTCAACAAGTATTCATTCTCCTCTGTTTTCCCCTGCTTGGGAAAACCCTATTTCCCCATCTCACTGAGGTTGGCCTTCACCACTCACCTGCTTTTGTCAATGGAATATGGATGGAAGTGACATTGCAACAAGTCTGAGATGGGGCTTCATGGAGCATTGAATTCTCAGCAGCTCCCTGTGTTCTTGCCTCTCATCACATGAGCATCACAAAATCTATAAAATATAAATTGAATAGAAGGTAGGGGTGCTGCACACTTGGGCCCTGGAATGATAAGAGCTGTATGGAGCACGTCTGAAGCTCACCCATAGCCTTGGAGCAGATCCACTAGCATACAATATAAGAGAAAAGTAAATATGGTTGTTAGAAGCTCCTGGGATTTTGAGAATGTTTATTCCTCAGGTAACCGTAGTGAAATCTGACTAATAGAGTAATTTTCAAGATAATAGTTTTCTAGAAATAGAGCCAGAACAGAAGATTATTGACTAATGTCCGTGCCAGATTTTAATCAAATATCATGTTCAATAGTCCTGAAAAATAAATAAATACAATATATTTGTAAGATGAAGTATCAGAATCTATTAACGAAACAGGCTAAGAGATAATCTTAACAAATAAAACCGTTCTAGCTTTTCTTTACACATATTGAAGGGAAGATTGTATTATTGCTAAGCGATCTTCACTCTTCCTTCCAATGGTTTGCTAAGGGTAAAGAAAGGTGTTTGAAAAAAAGAGGTGTTTGATATTGATAATAGCCTTTCATATTTTATAGTGGAGGATTTTTATAATCAGTGGGATCATTTTTATGGAAAAAGGAATTGAACCAATATTTTTCCCTTATTTTATGTACTTGCCTTTTATTCCTGAGTGATACTACACTGAAAAGGGAAAACAAATTAAAAAAAAAACAAATTTAAATGCTTCTTTATTACTAAAATCTATAAAATATAAATTGAATAGAAGCAATCTGTAGTTTCTTTTTAAACACTGTGTTTCATTTACATCCTAAGAATTTGACTCTAAGGTGGATTATCTGAAGCAGTGGTGACTGAGTAGATAAATATATTCACAGTTAGTCAAATTCATTATTTAACTATTTTCTTTCTTTATGATAGAAACAATAAAACATATTTTGTTAAATTGAGGAAGAGGGAAAGAAACATTGTATATTGAGGTGTAGAGGATGCTTTGATACTTATGAGAACCTCACCTGGTCTGAGACATTAGTCATGTATGTTGTTGCTGATTTTATAAAACAAGTCCAAGTGGTGGAGGTGAAGAACTGGATGTCTCAAAGATTAGCATACATGTTTCATTTGAAACTTGGCTGATATTAAAAATAGCACAGTGCCTAGACCAAAGCTTTTTAGATTCATGATCTGCCCAACTTTATAACTGTAGTTTTTATACCATATCCTTGAGTACTTTTGCGTAGTTTCTCTTATTTGTCCATGGAAGCAATGTTGAAGTTCTCCCTAAGAATTTGGCAACAAAGTAAATGAAGTTGCCATCTGAGTGTTAAACAGAAGAGAAAGTCTGAGAAGAAGTGTAGTCAATAGTAGAAGTTAAGGACTTCACCCCAGGCCAAAGTATCAGTTAGAATATATTAACATAAATGAAGAAAGAATGGGTCAAATCAAAGGCAGATTGGTCATTCAAGGTAGTATGGACAAATTCTCAGAAACAAATGTTGACTGTGCCTGTCTACACATTGTCTAAGGCCCCCAGGTTCACACTGGAGTGTGGTGTTTTTCAGGAGATTTATAATGAGCCTTCATATGCTCCAAGAGATTCATTCTCTTTGATTAGAAAAGCTGTGAGGGAAATATAACTCTAAAAAGAGGTACTTGTTTACTAATTTATAATGAATGGAACAGCTGCTAAGTAGCCTGAGCAACTGAGTGCTCAAAATTACTGTATTAGTCATTTTCAAAGGAGGCACAGTCATACCCGACATCTATTGGCCACTGCACAGACTACTAGGTCGCTCGTGAAGCTGGAAGTACAAGCTACATAAAACAGTAGATTGGACTACCTTCTTTTCAGTGATATCATATCCTTGAGAATCTAAGTTTTGAAGTCAAGTACCTTGTAAAAATCAACACGGAAGAGGAAATTAGGTGCTGTTGTCTAATCTGACTTCAAAGTTTGAGAACTTGAGTAGTTCCAGTAGGTGTTCATCTACCATTAGTAAATAAATGTGGTTAATAAATAATAATGTATAAATATTAATTTTTAAATGTATGTGTCATTTTTTTCATATGGTTACTGAGTTATAGGACATGAATACTTATTAAATTGTTTGGCCCTCACTACTTAATAAAAGAACTGTTAGGTATTTCTTTTAATAATGTTAGGCAACATTATTTAAAAAAAACTGAGGACACTAAGGTCGCTGTGAACTGAGAAGATTTGAGACTCTGGTGTTGTTGAGTGGGGACGAGTGGTGATGGTCAGTTTGAATACAGACTACACTTGACTCATCTCAGTGGCAAGTATAATTCTTATCATAGAGAGGGGATCATTCTACTCTTTTTAATGCCAGTAAATAATGGAGTCTCATGATTAACTTATTCTGGTTCCACTTCCTCATCACCAGGCATCTTTGAGGTTCAATGTCAACTTCTCTGAGAGCAAGGTTGCTCTAGTCTGAGAACTTGGGTACTCAGTCTACTTAGCAGCTGTACCATTAATTATAAAGTAATAAACAAGTACCTTTGTTAGAGTTATATTTCACTTGCAGCTTTTCTAAACAAAGACACTGAATCTCTTGGAGAATATGAAGCCTCATTGTAAATTAATGTAGTGGCATCTTATCATATATCAGTCTGCAGTCACTCCTGAGAGACCATGATACTTCTGAGTTTAGAAAGCTTAGATTCTGGTCTAAAGCATTTTAATATAATAATGATGCTACTCTGTGATGCTCTTTGGAAAACAAGATGATCCGCTCCAGGTGTTGCTCTCTTTTTTTTTTTTTTTTCAATTTTAGTCAAATCTGGAGTGAGACTGCCTGGGTTCAAATCCTAGTTCCACCATCATCTGGTTTTGTGACCTTGAGCTAATTACTGAACTTCTCTGTATTTCAGTTTTCTCTTCAGTAAAATGATGATGTATTGGCGTATTCTCATGCAGCTATAAGGACATACCTGAGACTGAGTAATTTCTAAAGAAAAAGAGGTTTAATGGACTCACAGTTTCATATGGCTGGGGAGGCCTTACAATCATAGCAGAAGGCGAAGGAGCAAAGGCACGTCTTATGTGGCAGCAGGCAAGGGAGCATGTGCAGAGGTGCAGGGGAACTGCCCTTTATAAAACCATCAGATCTCCTGAGACTAACTCACTGTCATGAGAACAGCATGGAAAAACCTGCCCCCATGATTCAGTTACTTCCCAGCCAGTCCCCGGACAACAGGTGGAAATTATGGGAGTTATAATTCAAGACGAGATTTGGGTGGGGACACAGCCAAACCATATCAGATGATAATAATAATAATTACTTTAGAGGTAGTTGTGATGATTAAATGAAGTATGTATCTTAAGATCTTAGAACATGCCTACACATGTTAAGGTCTTAGAACATACCTAGAGTACCATAAATTTGAAATAAACGTCACTTCTTATTTTCACTCTTCTCCCTCTTAATATTATTATTTCTATTCTTGGTCATGTTCCCCTTATTTCTTTTATTTTTCAAGCTTCTACATTTTCATTGAATTTATCTATGCCCACACTTAACATTAGTATGTAAGTTAGATGTTTCATGAAATATCTGACTGGAATCCAAGTCTGTGAGTGTGGAAGAGTCAGCAATACCAAATATTCCCATTGCTCTTCTATATTTGCATGGTCCCCTACATGTGAGAGCTATCTGACTACTTCTGGCCAATTAAATGTCAGTGTAAGCGAAAGTGAAAGAGTGAGACTGAAATGCCCATATGTGATTCTCCAGTTTTCTAGTTCCCCTGCCTCAGCACACAAGGAGAACTTGCGTTCCAGGAGGTGTAGCCATGAGATAGTTGTGCATCTATTAACCTGGATCCTTTTATAATTGACGAAGTGGAGCCACCTGCCAACTTAAGTTGGATATGTACTGTGATCAAGAAATAAAAACTTGATGTGTTGAGCCACTGTGATTTCCCAGTTTGTTACCATGCTATATTCTTTTTTTTTTTGGAGATGGAGTCTCACTCTGTCGCCCAGGCTGGAGTGCAGTGGGGCGATCTCAGCTCACTGCAAGCTCCGCCTCCCGGGTTCACGCCATTCTGCCTCAGCCTCCGAGTAGCTGGGACTACAGGCACCGGCCAAAAGGCCCGGCTAATTTTTTTTGTATTTTTAGTAGAGAAGGAGTTTCACCATGTTAGCCAGGATGGTCTCGATCTCCTGACCTCGTGATCCACCCACCTCGGCCTCTCAAAATGCTGGGATTACAGGTGTGAGCCACCAACCCCAGCCGTTACCATGCTATATTCTAACATACATTAACACTGAATGTAAATGACCTCCAGGCACCTACTTCGTGATGGTGAGTTAATATTGAGGGAATAAAATCATATTTATAAATGCTTGTTTAGAAAACTTAAAGTACACCATACCCTGGTTGTAACTTGAGGTCTCTACCACAGTTGAAGATAGACATCATCTGGGGCTCTGGTTACCTGTAAGTTCTCCTGGTTTGGGTATCCAAGATGGCTTATTTGCAGGCCAGTGGCTGATGCTGGCTTTCACCTGCAAGCTCAGTTGTGGCTTCTGACCAGGACACAAGCCCTGCAGCCTCTCACTGAATGCCTACTGGGTTCTTAGAGGGAAAAATCTCCCAAGAATGAGCATTTCCAGAGAGCCAGGGATGAAGCTGGACGCCATTTGATGACCTAGCCTTGGAAGTCCCACAATATTACTTCTAATGCACTTTATTATTAATATAAATCACTAAAGACAGTCCAGATTAAATTGAAGTTCACTTCTCAGAGGAAAGATTGGAAAAGAATTTGCATATACAGCGATCTGTAATTTATCACAACCTCCCCCTTTAATGGATTCTTTCTCCTCACACACATTCTTCTTCTTGCAAGAAGCAGGCTGGATGCTGTGGCTCATGCCTGTAATCCCAGCACTTTGGGAGGCCAAGGCGGGCAGATCACTTGAGGTCAGGAGTTTGGGACCAGCCTGGCCAACAAAGTGAAACCCTGTCTCTACAAAATATACAAAAATTAGCCGGGCATGGTGTATTCCTGGGCATGCTGTAATCCCAGCTACTCAGGAGGCTGAGGCAGGAGAATCACTTGAACCCAGGAGGCACAGGTTGCAGCGAACTGAAATTGTACCACTGCACTCCAGCCTGGGCGACAGAGCGAGACTCAATCTCCAAAAAAAAAAAAAAATTATTGCAAAGAAGCAACTATGCCTTAATATAATTCGATATCCATCCTAGTTCTATTTCTGAGATTTAGCCCCTTGTATATACTCAGTAACAACTACTAGAAAAATATGCAAATGACATATATATATATCTTAAAATTTTTCCCAGTATCTTCCACAGTTCCTAAATTTTAGATGTTCAATCAATCTCTTTTGAATAAATGAAGGAGGTGTATCCTGCATTAAAAGTGAATCTTCAAAGCTTACCAAATGAACATGTAAAATGTAAATGTATATTTTCTTCACGTGGGCAAAAGCTTGCAATTGAAACATGGTGAACAAAAACAGGTAGAAGCACAAGGGGTAATACGTCATTTGTATTTATTCATATAAATATAAGAATAATAAATATATTTTTTCCAAAATATATATTGACCTGGAGTCCATTGTGTTTCTGACAAAGGATGACAAGCACCAATATCTCAATACTGAGGAAAACTGCCCTAAAGAAAAGACTGTCCACCAATAATTTTTTTCCAATACAACCAGAAGTAAACAAATCACAAAAGGGGTCTCAAGAATTCTTGAGAAAAATATTATGATTAATGTTGTTGAGAATTGGGACTTTTTTTCCAAGTTTATTTGGTTTGTCAGTATATTGGCTTATTCTTCTGCATTTGCATCAGCTTAAAATTCACGGGATGTGAAATAGAATTGCCATACCATGTCTACATATTGATGCAAATCAACGAAGTCTGAGGTTTGTCATTTGTAACAAGACTAAAAGAGAATTGAACTTGCGTTTCTCAGCTGACCAACGAAATGTCTCCATTTATAAGCAGAAAGAATTTAAGCCTTCTAAAGTTTTGAGTCATTTTAGAAATTCCTTCCCTCTGTATTAATTACATATTTAATTTGATGCTATGTTCTAAATGTGGTCTCATGCAAGATCCTGAAGACCTTAATATCCAAAGTACTATTCTAGAGTGCTATCCAGAAAAGGAAATTCTGTTAGATATGAGCATATATATAGCAAAACAGAAAAAAAGTTTTGAATTTAAAATAGTGGAAAAAGCAAAAATACCGTTTATAAGACTAGAAGTTTAATGCGTGTCTTTTCAACACGTACTTCAACATTTTTTCATTGTTATTCATGAATTTTATTATAAAATTCCTTGGCTTGGGCCCGGCACGGTGGCTCAAGCCTGTAATCCCAGCACTTTGGGAGGCTGAGGCTGGCTGATCACCTGAGGTCAGGAGTTCAAGACAAGCCTGACCAACATGGCAAAACCCCATCTCTACTAAAAATTAATTTTCTACAAAAATTAGCCGGGCATGATGGCAGGTGCCTGTAGTCCCAGCTACTCAGGAGGCTGAGGCAGGAGATTTGCTTGAACCCGGGAGGTGGAGGTTGCAGTGAGCCAAGATTATGCCACTGCACTCTATCCTGGGCAATAGACGAAGAGTCTGTCTCAAAAACTATATATATATATATCTCCCTTGGCTTGACATGTACTAGTTTTACACATTTTTTCCCTGGGCTTGTGTGAAAAATCAAGTATTTCTCTCCAGTGTTTTACTGGTTGTTATTTATTGTTATAGGTTTTATTTTCCTTCTTGGTTATTTGCTTGTATAATTCTATTAAAATTAATTATAGATTGAAATTTCCCCAATTTAAAAGAAAATGAATTGCTTATTATGAAATATTGAAAATATTTAAATTTATCAGAATTAAAGGGAGCTCAACATATCCTTGTGTACTATTCAGTGAAGTACTTTCAAAAGTCAAGTACAACCTGAATTTGAAGTCCCTGTCTTGAGAGAGAGAGAGGGAGGAAAGGGAGATATATATATATATATATAAAATAAACAAGACTTTTATGAAAGCAGTTTAAACAATGATTTAAGATATTTTCATCGGAAACTATCAATTTCTAAAATCATATCTAAGAATAAAATACGAAACTACCTCTGAAACTGTTAACTATAAGTCATATTAAATGTGTATTAAATATCTGACTCTGTGAAGAAATTCAACAGTAGCTTGATGGGGACAGCATTGAATCAATAAATTACTTTGGGCAGTATGGCCATTTTCATGATATTAATTCTTTCTATCCATGAGCATGAATGTTTTTCCATTTGTTTGTGTCCTCTCTTATTTCTTTGAGCAGTGGTTTGTAGTTCTCCTTGAAGAGGTCCTTCACGTCCCTTGTAAGTTGGATTCCGAGGTATTTTATTCTCTTTGTAGCAGTTGTGAAGGGGAGTTCACTCATGATTTGGCTCTCTATTATTGGCGTATAGCAATGCTTGTGATTTTTGCACATTGATTTTTTATCCTGAGACATTGCTGAAGTTGCTTATCAGTTTAAGGAGATTTTGGGCTGAGACGATGGGGTTTTCTAAAAATACAATCATGTCATCTGCAAACAGAGAAAATTTGACTTCCTCTCCTCCTAATTTAATACCATTTATTTCTTTCTCTTGCCTGATTGCCCTGGCTAGAACTTCCAATACTATGTTGAATAGGAGTGGTGAGAGAAGGCATCCTTGTCTTGTGCCGGTTTTCAAAGGGAATGCTTCCAGCTTTTGCCCATTCGGTATGATATTGGCTGAGGGTTTGTCATAAATAGCTCTTAATATTTTGAGATATGTTCCATCAATACCTAGTATATTGAGAGTTTTTAGCATGAAGGGGTGCTGAATTTTATCAAAGGCCTTTTCTGCATCCATTGAGATAATCATGTGGTTTTTGTCATTGGTTCTGTTTATGTGATGGATTATGTTTACTGATTTGCATATGTTGAACCAGTCTTGCATCCCAGGGATGAAGCTGACATTGACTTTCTTCACAGAATTATAAAAAACTACTTTAAATTTCACATGGAATCAAAAAGAGGCCGTATAAACAAGACAATCTTAAGCAAAAAGAAGAAAGCTGGAGACATCATGCTACCTGGCTTCCAACTATACTACAAAGCTACAGTAACCAAAAGAGCATGGTACTGGTACCAAAACAGGTCTATAGACCAATGGAACAGGACAGAGGCCTCAGAAATAATGCCACACATCTACAACCATCTGATCTTTGACAAACCTGACAAAAACAAGCAATGTGGAAACGATTCCCTATTTAATAAATGGTGTTGGGAAAACTGGCTAGTCATATGCAGAAAACTGAAATTGGACCACTTCCTTACACCTTATACAAAAATTAACTCAAGATGGATTAAAGACTTAAATGTAATACCTAAAACCATAAAGACCCTAGAAGAAAACCTGGGCAATACCATTCAGGACATAGTCATAGGCAAAGACTTCATGACTAAAACACTAAAAGCAATCGCAACAAAAGCCAAAATTGACAAGTGGGATCTAATTAAACTAAAGAGCTTCTGCACAGCAAAAGAAACTATCATCAGAGTGAACAGGCAACCTATAGAATGGGAGAAAAATTTTGCAATCTATCCATCTGACAAAGGGCTAATATCCAGAATCTATCTACAAGGAACTTAAACAAATTTACAAGAGAAAACAACCCCATCAAAAAGTGGGTGAAGGATATGAACAGACACTTCTCAAAAGAAGACATTTATGCAGCCAAAAAACATATGAAAAAAAGCTCATCATCACTGGTCATTAGAGAAATGCAAATCAAAACCACAATGAGATACGATCTCATGCCAGCTAGAATGGTGATCATTAAAAAGTCAGGAAACAACAGATGCTGGAAAGGATGTGGAGAAATAGGAACACTTTTACACGTTGGTGGGAGTGTAAATTAGTTCAACCATTGTGGAAGACAGTGTGGCAATTCCTCAAGGATCTAGAACCAGAAATACCATTTGACCCAGCAATCCCATTACTGGGTATATACCCAAAGGATTAAAAATCATTCTACTGTAAAAACACATGCACAAGTATATTTATTGCAGCACTATTCACAGTAGCAAAGACTTGGAACCAACCCAAATGTCCATCAATGATAGACTGGATTAAGAAAATGTGGCACATATATATCATGGAATACTATGCAGCCATAATAAAGGATGAGTTTGTGTCCTTTGCAGGGACATGGATGAAGCTGGAAACCATCATTCACAGCAAACTAACACAGGAACAGAAAACCAAACACTGCATGTTCTTACTCATAAGTAGGAGTTGAGCAATGAGAACACATGGACACAGGGAGTGGAACATCACACACAGGGCCTGTTGGGGGGTGGGGGGCTAGGGGCGTGATAGCATTAGGAGAAATATCTAATGTAGGTGACGGGTTGTTGGGTGCAACAAACCACCATGGCACATGTATACCTGTGTAACAAACCGGCATATGCTACACATGTATCCCAGAACTTAAAGTATAATAATAATAATAATCTAATTATAAAGCTGTTAACTACCCTCAAGTGTTTTTTATTTTAGAAAAGAGTAAATCACATTTGCCAACTAATAAATACATAAAGAAAATAATAAGACTAACTGTTTTCACTATAACTAGAAGGGTTCTGAAAAGGAGGCACAAAGATGGGGCAATCTATAGGATTGCAGAAGGCATTTGGATGCTGTGTGGCATAAGGGCATATGGACATTGAAGATTTACAGTGGTGAGAGGGAAATATGTAGGAACAATTCTTTGGTATTTTCAGGAAGGCCTGTAGGCAAAGTCTTCTGGTGTCTACTTCATTTATATTTTTAAAGTGCTTATTGCAGATGACATTCTTCTATATGTCTGATACAAATTTTATAAAATGATAAATGCAGTGATTTAGGAAAGACTGCCACAATGTGTCTTAGATTTCAAAATTCTAAAAGGAAAGTAAGATAAATTTGACACAAACTAATTCAGAAAGTTATGTAATATATAAAATATTAAAGAGATAACATGTCCATTTTTACATATCATCTAGAGGTTTTATACAATTAATATTATACAATATTAGCTCTTAAAAGCAAGATCTAGGAATTGGCCAATGATAGTGATATTGTCTAAAAGTTTCTGTCTTTTTTATTTTTAGAAAAACATCTAGATTCTCAACACAGTTACCTAAACTTGAATAAGAAATAGAACGAAACAATTCCACCTAGCCATAAACATCTACAAAAGCTAGGAAGTTTTAATAATTACAGAGTTCTTCTCCCTCTAAGTTACCTTGTTAACACCTCTTCTTCCCATCCATGGTGCCTTCTTTAGACACTAAATCTCATAACATCATACTATAATATCAGTATTGTTGCTGAAGAACAACTTGACTAACTCATAAGAGAACTTTAAAGTGGTGGACTACCATCACTAATCTGTAGAGGTTTGTTGTGTAAGAGACACAAGCCACACTTTGTAACAACCAGCATCTGCTGATGGTCTTCCTTTATTTAGGGATGTGGTCCCATGCTACAACTGCATTGTGTTCAGGCATGGTTTCCTGTGTCTTCAGTTGTTCCAACCAAGAATACTCTATCTCTTTGTCTCTTTGTTTTGCTCTTTTTCTGTCTCTCTCTCTCTCTCTCACATACACACACACACACACACACACACACACTTGATTATGACAGGAAAACACTATCGGATGTTAATTTATTAAAATATACAATTTTTAGGGCCAGTGCGGTGGCTCACGCCTGTAATCCCAGCATTTTGGGAGGCCGAGGTGGGTGGATCATGAGGTCGGGAGATCGAGACCATCTTGGCTAACACGGTGAAACCCCGTCTCTACTGAAAATACAAGAAATTAGCCAGGCGTGGTGGCGGGCGCCTATAATCCCAGCTACTCAGGAGGCTGAGTCAGGAGAATGGCGTGAACCCGGGAGTCGGAGCTTGCAGTGAGCCGAGATAGCGCCACTGCAGTCCGGCCTGGGCGAAAGAGCAAGACTCCTTCTCAAAAAAAAAAAAAAAAAAAAAAAAAAATATATATATATATATATATATATTTCATCATTTATCAGACCTCATTTTTTTTTTCACGCAGTAGTCATGGTGCTTGATAGTGGAAATAAAAGCAGTGATTTAAACGATAAGGAGGGTATGCAAAATTTTCTCTCATAATGCTTCATAGACTTATCAAATATTAGACCAGATTAAATTAAATACCCAATTTGATTCGTTTAACACACACATGCTCATTACAGATTAATTCCTGACATTTGGGAGAGCAACAGCTGCTTTGAAAATTATATGCATTCTACAACAGGGCAGTGTGTTCTACAATGTGCAGTGTAGCACATTCTACAATGTGCAGTGTGTTCCAGAGTGCTCTGCAGGCCATTTAAAATGGAAGCACCTAGGATACACGCTGTCAACCTACTAAATCAGAATCTCTAGGGAGTTGAGCACAGGGATTTTCATGTTTTATATTCACTTTCTGTTGATTCTAAGACACGATAGCAAAAATTTAGGGCAAATTCTTTCTCAAGGAAAACTTATCTCCCAAAATGAAAATAGAGGAATTAATAATCTCTTCAAGTGCTTTGTATCATGTTTCACATATTCAAAATTTCAGATTTTAATTATATATAATTAAATTATAATTTAATATATAATTATATTTATATTGTATATAATATAATTATATATAATGTAATTATTATAATTATATATTATTATGCATATATATATATATATATATATATATATATATACTTTTTTCAGACAGCGTCTCGCCCTGTCACCCAGGCTGGAGTGCAGTGGTGCGATGTCAGCTCACTGCAACCTCCACCTCCCGGGTTCAAGCGATTTTCCTGCCTCAGCCTCCTGAGTAGCTGGGACTACAGGCGTGCGCCACCATGCCCAGCTAATTTTTATATTTTCAGCAGAGATGAGGTTTCACCATGTTGGCCAGGCTGGTCTCCAACTCCTGACCTCAAATGATCTGCCCGCCTCGGCCTCCCAAAGTGCTGGGATTACAGGCGTGAGCCACCACACCAGGCCAATTTTTATATTTTTAATGTACAGTTTCAGATGCTGAGCTTAAGGTGTCAGCATTCTCCTCAACCAAAAGCGAAGAAAATTGCATCAAGTGCTTTCAAATAAAGGAAGCCCTAGGGTTTGGATTAAATTTCAATACCGCTAAAATTCTGGTTGTGTACACCATTGAATTCCAAGCTATTAATATTTAGAGTTCTTAAGCTTTCCTTTTCTGCAACATCCCTACTATAGCAAGCTTCCACAGTGAGGTACAGAATTGGGGCAAATATTAATAAGACCAATTTGGGCCATAACCCCAAAATGTCTCAATGTTTTATTTAATTTGACTATGACAACTAACCCAACTATAAAATTTCGAGAAGATATGAATAGCTACCCAGAACCACATTTTGGAGTATCTCAGCTCAACTACAGGCCTAAAGACTCAAGAGTGTACTTTATTATACTTGTTTTGGTAGCTCATGCATGAAGTTCAGTCAATACTTTCTAACAGGTCTACCTTTCGCTGTACTGTCTGCCCCAGCTGGTAAGCCTAGTTTCTTGGTATTGAGTCCTATTTATCTTACTACTTGGAACCTTGGAAAATAGCTATGTCTTTAGCTCCTTACCTTACTGCAGTGTATAATCAGAATCATACTAGAATTATAGCCCAAGCATGTAGACTAATAAAGATTTATAAGTATACATTTTTCAACATTTTCCCTTTGGCTAGTCCCAGTTAAAATGATTGTGTACTTTGTATGCATAATCAAAACAGCTATGAATTAAATAGGTTTTAGAAGTCTCTAAGATTCTATTGGATGGCATTGGGTTTAAAGTGTTACAGCTTAGAGAAAATCCTCTGTTATGCCTTGGTAATATATTCACTGGGATCATGTCCAAATCTATACTCAAAAAGGGAATTGTAGAACCAAATCTTAACCTATTTGTTTATTCAAGAGATTGAGAGGTGACATCCTTTAGAATAGTCATGCAATGAACTAACATCATTGAACACATCCATTCTTTTGCTTACTTTTTCAAACTACATCCAGTCTTTGATGTTGATCATTTTTTTTGGCTCATTAATTCAATTTTCCTTTGTTCAGTAAAATCCCCAAATGCTGATGTTGAATTGCCAGGAATAAGAACACTGATGATAGAAATGGCACCAGAGAAGTCATTGCTATTCTTGGCCACAGACATTTCCAGTCTGAACAATAGCTGTTTTCTTCATAGCTTTCACCAATGTCATATTTTAAGCAGGGATTTTGTGAGCTCAACAAATGAATGGAAAAAGGCTGCAAAATATGTTGCAGGAATCTCTTGCAGGTAAGCAGGAAATTTGGAATAGATTATCAGGACAGAAAGTTTTATACAGAGATGGCTAGGACAAAAGACAAAATAAAACTGCTGAAGTAGGCTTTAAAATGCAGTGTGATTCAATCAGCAGCACAGGCACTATTGTCCCAGCTGACTTGGTATCCATTTTGATATGGGGAATAAAAGGAGTAAGATCAGAAGATTATGCTATTTGAAGACTAAAAAAAAATTAACAATGCAAGTTTTATAAGAATAGAAATAAGATATTTTGTTTTATAACTCAATGTGATAAAATTCTTACCCTTTTTAATGATGATGATTTAAACCAAAATTTTCACAGACTGCAAATATCCAAAGACTCATTCTAGAGTTTGATGGATATGAATGACAGAGAACTGGGGAGAAAAGCAGCAATATGCTTGCACTGTAGCTATCTACCTTACTGTCTTTTCCATCAAAGATTGAGTAGGAGGTGACACACCTAGAAAACCAAATCCAATTTGAAAAAAAAAAAAAAACTTTACAGTAATAAGGAGTTTTACTGAAAAATACCTATTACCTAGGGAAACTTCCTAAACTTATTGAAATCTTTTGATCTCTGCAGAGTCCTCAAAAGTGATGACTACTCCTCCAATACTCCCTTCCAATCTCCAAATTCTAAACTTTCCTTGTGCTGTTTTATGTTGGTATTTTTCTTCTTAATCCAGAGCAATTTCTTTATTGTTTGAATCAAGATAATTCTTCCTAGACTTTTTCCTTTCAATTTCCATTATTGCTTCTAACTATCAAAGGTACAAATAAAAATCCTCAATATTGGATTATAACAGTAGTAGTGGTTGGAGTTAGGGGAACAGAAAAACATGTTATGAACTTATATTCTTTTTTGCTTCAATATGTAGTAAAAACTTCCTAACCTAAAATTTCTAACTCTCAATGCTCCTCAAAAGTGACCAAATTATTATAATAAGTGTCTTGTTTTCCTGTCTGATTAAAATGAAAAATAATTCAGGTTTTTCATATTTAATATAATACAACACATTTCTTTATACATGGTAAATGCTGAATAAATGTGCACTGAAATTGATTTCACTATGACACAGAAACCCTACAACTGGGCATAAAATTTGTGTTGAAGTTAAAATGTATCCGAATGAAGTTTCTATGGTATATCAACCAGTTATACACATTATAAGCTGTAAAATATGATACAAACCTCATGTATTATTATGATTTCATGCCTTCTTTCAATGTAACATGTAAACCAAATCTTCTACTTTAGGAATAATTATTACTAATAATAGATATGATGATACAGAAAACAGTTGGAGACACTTTTCTAGAAAATAATGCTGAGGCCAAAATAAATATAGGATGCAAATAAAGTATACGATAAACAAATATAACATAAAAGCACATTGTTTCCTGCTGGAATAAATAAAATATTAAGGGAACTGGGTCATGTTCACAAAGCCAACCTAATACATGTATTGATCAATGAAGCCACTAACCTATGGGACTCATAAGAGGACTTATCCATGAAGAAAATAAAAAGTCCTGGAGGCACTTAGGTCCTACAGCTATTGCAGTACAAATCTATCCTCAACCCACTATCTCTTGTTGTTGTCACAGGCAGTGGTGTGCTGGAACCTACTGATACCTTCTCACAAGATTTGACTGTTACATCTTGTTAGATATTCTGTGAACCGGTTGTTAAAAAGAATTATTAGCAAAAATTAATTAATATAACTTACAATTAAATGCATTATATTAAAATAACCGGTAATAAATAATTAAAACTCATCACTTTTAATTATTTTACTGCACTTTACTATTATCTATTCTTCTGAGGTGATTTATGCCTATTGTATCTGTATGGTAGAAATACTGTAGAATTCAGTGATACCATACATCTCGTCCAGTTCCATATTCAGCAATGTCTTGTTAGACATACTGGGAGTATTTTACGACAACTGGAAAATTCTATAAATCATGGATTTTGTCTCCCCAAAGAGCTGGTTGTTAAGCATGTACTAGCACACCACTAACTATAAGTCATATTTCTATCAAATATTCCATAGAACATGGGGACAGTCATCAGTGCAGACTAAATCACGCCTCCCCTGATACCAGAAATTGTTATTGCTTAAGCTCACAGTTAGGAAAATGTTATCATTTAATAGGCTAGCCAACAACATTGAGGAAATGGCAATTTCAAAATTCCTCTTCATGATCCTTGAGAGCTTTTGCTCCTTGCCACAGCACTGCAGTAACCTCAAATTCTGGTCCACAGATATTTCACATTTGGGTTTTTGGTGTATACAGATCTTATCATTGAGTGTTTTAGCTTGCACAGGCAGAATATGTGGACTTCCTAAACTAATTGCACAGTTCAAGTCTTAAGCAAGGAGGTGAGCATCTCAACAGTTTGGTAATGATCTTAATGTTTCTCAAGTTGATTTAACTGTCAAAAAATTACAACTGACTTTTAATTTTATCACGAATGTATCTTGTGACATTTTTCATAAGTCCACACTAATTGTATATCTTTCCTTTCCCCCTTAACTTTTTGTTTCTTCAAAGGAAAGTGAGAAATGCCTGGCAAGCTTTCTTAAAAAAAATCAAAGGACGGGCAGTGGCTCTTGCCTGTAATCCCAGCACTTTGGGAAGTAGAGGCAGGTGGATAATTTGAGCCCAGGAGTTCAAGATAAGCCCAGGCAACATGGCGAAACCCATCTCTACAAAGAATACAACAAATTAGCCAGGCGTGGTGGCATGCGCCTGTAGTCCCAGATACTAGAGAGGCTGAGGTAGGAGGACTGCCTTAGTCTCAGGAGATGGAAGCTGCAGTGAGCTGGGACTGTGCCACACTGCACTCCAGCCTGGGCAACAGAGAAAACCTGTCTCAAAAAATGAAAAAAAAAAAAATTCAAGTCCCACTTAGAGAAAGTCGTCCCCTAAAACTGTCCCATTTATGACACTTTCTGACAGTTAAAAAGTGAAATTATATTATTTTGCAAGCCATTTAGGGAGCTGTCAAATAAATGAACTGATTCAAATTCAGGTACACCTTATCATGATACTTACTTAGACCAGTGTTTATCAGTCGTTTTTTACATGATCAGCCCTCTAAAGAGAAAAAAATAAATGGAAAGTCTTTTTAATGAGATAAACTAAATACTAAGGAATAAGATTTTCCCAGGTAAGTTTGAGATTTGGAAGGGTACAAACCATTGTAACATCTAAATATTTTTGCCCCCTCAATAAGAACCAACTTTTATTTTGTTGGTGATACTATCCGCCTTTTGAGAATGCATGCCTTTCACTAGCAGTGCTATTTTGTGCTAAACATGTGTTTAATTCTTCAAATTTACCTCCAAACAACAACTATTTTCCCTAGTTTAGAAGATATGTCTCTTATTACAAAAAGCTGATTATTCAGAACATTATATTTATTTACTGAAGTAGCTTCCTTTAGTTCTTAGACTATAAGTTGGATATCTAAGGATACTGTATTAACTGTTAGGCAGTTTTCAGCAGCAGTCTCCAATAAGACAGTCACTAGATATACATGGCAATATATAGGCAAATTGATTCAACTGAAAGTAAAATTTCAGTCCCACTACCCACATGTCTAGTCTCAATAGCTATCTATGTCTGCCTATCATATTGGAAAGCACAGCTATTGAATAGTTTCATCATTGCAGAAAGTTCTATTGGTTAGTGCTATTCTAGTGCCTCAGTATTCAAAGCGTGTTCCACGGACGGGCAGTGTCAACATCATGTGGGAATTTCTTAGAGAAATAGACATGTAGACACCATCCCAAACTTACTGAATCATGATCTGCACTTTTTACACGATATCTAGGATTGCATATGTAGATACATCAGTGCTATAAAGAGGTCATTTTTGAGTTTTTTTATTATTTATTATTTTTAGTATTATTTGAATATTAACTTCGTTGAAGATGCATAATGTTAAAATGTGCCTAATTTTTGAGATGTATACCCCTAGAGATCAGGACTCTATTTCAGATTTTCTTTTTATTCAATGCTAGAACCACAATTAAGTCCTTATAAGTTTATTTTAATAGTTTAATAGCAATAATTATTCTACATTTACAATTTTCCCAGTTGTATAATTAAATAAGTTAACCATTTGCTATAATTGTTTGAACACAAGCTTCTTTTAAACTCTGAAACCATGCTTATCTTGTTGGGATTCTCAGAAAAAAAAAAAAAAAGAATGCAGCAAAAGAAAATCACAAGCAAAATCCTGCTCATCATGAGGGACCACATTTTGGAATAATAAAAATATTTTTCCCAACATGAAGGGGTCAACCCCTTGCAAAATTCTACTGAATGAGTAGAACTACATATCTACACTTGTAACAAACTTAATGGGGGTAATCTAATAAAGCAAAGATAATAAATAACATGTACCCGCATTGTGTATACCAACTTAAAGATATTTGATATATTATACAATCATTAAAACAATTCAGTTCCCCAAGTTGCAAAGCTGCTCACTGTAGATACTTTCGAAACTGAGAAAATCTTGTTTCACATATATTGTATGACATCTCATGAATTATTTCATTAATAGTAAATTGTGTTTGTGACAATGAAAAGTATTAACATGTCAAATATCATAATTAGTACTGTGAGTCTTGTTAGGTAGACTATTTGACTATAATTATGTTCTGCATACTTTTTCTTGAAGGTAACCATTTCTTTACAAAACTGCCAAGATTCTGGGATAAGCAGTTCTTGTAAAGATGTGTAGGGCTTAGTTCAGGCTCTGAAGATAATTAGAAAGTTTCACAAATGGGCTGGCCCTGAATTCCAACTCTTGAGATAAACCAGGGATCCAAATAAAATAAGATAATCTGGCTCAAGTTTTATAAAATCATGCCAAAATTCCATCTTTAAGTTTTTTGAAAAATATACTTTTTGGTGGCCAAACAGAAAATAATCACATTATTTTATGAGGAGGACTATCACCCATGTCTTTCTCTGAAGTGAGATTAATTTTCTTTTTCTTCTGGCTTGGCCTTTTCAGTTCAAGAATTACAGTTTACCAACCTAACAAGTGAAGAAGTTGTTTGCAATGAAGTAAAAATTTTCAAACTTCTAAGTTCATAGACCGTCATAAAGATCATTCCCCTTGCTCATCCTTATCAGAGACCTTTCCCCTCTTGCTATATTTGATATTACTTTTCAAAGCTGAAAGGCAGGATATTAAAAATATATATATATGTCATAGAAACTCAAACTCTTCAACTGGTTCCCAAGCGGTCTGCTGCACTAACATTTTACTACAAATGTATTACTTTATCTGAAATCATATCATCTCCAAATATTAATTTCTAAGTTGTGAAGTCTTGGAGTAATTTTTATAAACATGAAAATATATGAATCTTTTTATCAGATTATTTACCTCCAGCTGTGATGGGTTGCATGCATTTTGAGGAATGTCACTGGGAATAAAAAGGAAAGGATAATGCTGAAGCACTACCTATGGATGACAGGTTTAGTCAGGGCGCCAAGTAAACAATCTGAGCTTCCTGGAGCTCCAACATGTCCTAGGTGGAAAGCAAAGTAATAGAGAAAGAAGGTAAAAGAAGAGACTCAAATTTTATCTATGTGCTATTTTGCCCAGGACTATTATATTGGGAGACTATTAGTTGTAGAAGAGCTTTCTAACTCAGTCAAGAACCCTATATTTAAAGTCTGAAGCTTAGTGAATTTTAAAGACTAATACAAAAGTCATACCAAGCAAAGTACACAAAGCAACACAGACTTTCCATATATGAATAAAGATGATTTAAATAATCACGCCATTTTTTCTATATTTTTAATATTTATGAGGAAGTAATTTTTGGTCTGAATTATCCTTTAATTTTTTTCTTTTTAAAAACTTTTTCCCTTGTCACAGGTGTTGAAAATAATTTTTTCAATATCCACTTTACTATCACACAGTTTATGGTGAGGGTAATAGCTGGATTATAATTTACATATTTTTAATTTTGTTAGTTATCTTGTATAATTAAGTAAATCATTTGCCATAGTTGTTTATACTGCTGGTTCAGGAAAACAGTTTTTCTAAAATCATAGAATAAATGCATAGAGAATAACATAGTTGAATAAACATATGAAAAGCCAAAATGATAGTGATGTAAATTCTGAGTGAAAATAAAATTGTCCATAAAACAAATTATTAATAACATAGCATTTGCAGGAATCACAAGAATTTATCTAGATAAAAATTAACTACAAAAAAGATTAACTTAAGACTATATAGAAAAATTCCTGTAAAACCTTGCATTTAAAAAAACGAAGTCTTTTTCTGTATCTTTATGATATGTTGCATCTATATGATGAAAACTATCTTTTGTAAAAGTTAATAGCAACAGTTTTTAAAAACAAGAGTATTTTTACAAGTATTTCCAGAGTAATATCATATCCATTTGAAAATTAATAGACAATTATAAACATTTATTTTATGTTCAAATTCACTCTAGTTATTAAATCCTCCTAGGAATCCTTATAAAATAGATGTGTAGAAGTACATTAAATCATTTCTAATTAACACGGTACTTATATGCTTATATCACCATTTTTTAAAGGTCTTATATTTCTAGACAACTAAAACTTGGCTAGCTAACATTATGTTTCTTGGATTCCAAAACTATATCCTAGGGAACAAATAACATTTTAATTTCTACATTTTCTCACAACTCTACAAATACCTGACTTAGTTGCATAATTCAGTGATCCAGTAGATTGTATAAATCCACTTCTAAATTTGAACTGTAAGATTTTGACAAATGTTCAAAAACTGAGAATTTAAATAGAATTATTTAAATTATATTTTGCATAGGTACTAGTAAAATACAATGTTCATTTTATGCATATTTTAGTCAAATATTTTAAACGTAGTATTTTACTCAAAACTACATGTACTGTATTAATGAACTGTTAAGGGATTTTCAAGGATAATTTCACTGGACCCTATTTTGGTTTTGCACGTGACTTTAGAATCTACTTTTGGTGGAAGATATGTTATTTCACATGACTGATTATCTGTAGAGGACTTTATTCCAGAGAAGGTAGATACTTAGAAATTAAGTCTATCAATTTTTTCTCCCCTTCTCTCAAATAGTAGAGAATTCTGAATTTAATAGTACAACATTCTGATTAATAAAGAGAAACAAAATGTCAAGGCTTCCTCTTGATTTGGGTACTCTGTTGGAGATCAAAAGTTTTTAAATATGGAGAGATTTAATATAGGAAATTTGTTAACCAGTTGTTGGAGGGTTTG
The DNA here is from genome assembly GCF_000001405.40 of Homo sapiens. NCBI lineage: Eukaryota > Metazoa > Chordata > Mammalia > Primates > Hominidae > Homo > Homo sapiens. Next base: position 157,043,085 of record NC_000004.12, read on the forward strand.
GGAGCAAAGGGAAGCACTGAAGCAAACCACATGAAGTAAGAGCAGGAAGTAGCTCTCACCCCCAGGACTGGGAAAGAAAGGGAAGATAATAGAGTAACCAGAACCCAGTAGCAGACCTCTGAGTAGTGGGCACTGCCTGGCTGCAGCTGATACCTCTGAGCAGGAAAAGTGAAGCGGAAAAGGCTGAATGCTGAAATCAACTGTCACTGCTGGGGTGCTGCTGACAGGCACTACAAGCAAACAGGAGTAAAAAAGTCCCTTCCCCTCTCCTCCTATCTCCTAATCGCCCTCTAGTTCCTCCTATTGGTGGAACTTAAAGTGATGCCACTGGTAAAGAAGTCCTTGAAGTGTAATTTGCAGAGTTGTGGTTCCAGCTTTACAGAGCACACTATATAAAAGGATAGATTGGGAACTGAATGACAAAGTTGAAAAAACAGCACAATTACAAAGCAGTCATTGACAATGCTTGTTTATTACATTATTTGATTATGCATATCAAAATTCATTTGGGTCTCATTACAAATAGTATTTACAACAAACTATTCAATACTAATAAAACATATTTCTGCTATAAAGCTACATCTCATTGGTGCTTAAGTTCATAGATTTAAAACTTCTATATATTTTCATATTTAACTCTACATTTTATTAAAAGTTTTTGAAATGGAAAATTCTGGAGATGATGTTGTGTAGAAGAAATAACTTAAGATTTTGCATCTGAATAACTAGTTTTCAATCCACTTTTTGATTACTAACTAATTGATTTTGGGCGAATCTCTTAAAAACTGCCTGAACCTCATATTTCTCATTGTGGGGTCTTATTTGATTATTTCTAAAGTCATTTCAAGATCTAGGGATTAGAAGGTATTTCATTCAATGAATTATAGAACAATCCAATACATTTTGCTATTAATATTTTCTGAATGGGGTGATATGGTGTGGAATTTACATCCATGACCTTAACATAAAATAATGATGCTATAAAGAACATGCAGAAATGATTTGATTAACCTATTTCTTCCAAGCACATAGCTGTCTTGGTACATAAAACTAAAAGAGGCCAGGTGCAGTGGCTCAGTCCTGTAATCCCAGCACTTTAGGAGGCTGAGACAGAAAGATCGCTTGAGAACAAGAGTTCGAGACCAGCCTGGGCAACACAGCGGGACTCCATCTGTACAAAAATAAATACATTATTTAAATTAAATTACAAGAAAAAATTCTCTGTAGTGATAGCACTTTGTTGAAAAAAGTGCTCAATTGTAACAGAACTGGGTCTTTGTTTTGTACGACATTGCTGCATTATTGCTAAAGTAGGAGTAAATGCAATTTAATTTGCCCCAAATCAGAAGGCAATTGTGAATTATTGTCTTAATCGTGCTTTTCTTTGTAAATGTTATAATTTGGAAGGGAAAATACAAAGTACTATAATATTTTAAAACTCAATAATTTGAAACTACTGAATAATCAATCTAGCATATATAGACTTTGAGATGCGGAAGAATGTAATATTTAGAAATCTTTCCATTATTCTGACATACGAAAATTAGAATGAAGGTGACATTAGCAAAAATACTGGTTTTTAAAACAGGATTAAAATTTACTAAAGGAATAAATAAATGGAAAGGACTGACTAGGCAAACACGGAAAAGAAAATCCTTGGGTGTTGATGCTGACCCCAAGCAACTAGGATTCTGGAATTTATTAAAAGGAATAATTCATGAAGCATTTGGAAGTAATCTCTCTGCCATATTATGCATTCATGAGCTATTTGTTAGGATATTGTGGCTACTTTTGGTCACTGTGCTTTTTAAAAGATGTGGACAAACCAGAAAAAATCAGGGAAGAATGAGAAAAATGAATAATGTTTAGAAAATAGTGACCTTAGGAAAGGTTTAAAGAACCTTGTTGTTTATAGCAGAGAAGAAAAGCCCACGGAGCGGTCTGATGGTTTTTGTTAAATAACTGAAGTATTTTCATAAGATTATAAATAATCAGTATATTTTCTCCACACTACTGTTACCTAGAACAAAAGGAAGTTTAATTAAACAACGTGTGTGTGTGTGTGTGTGTATATATAACACGCATACCATATATTAAACTTGTTTTTGTTTTTTCCTTTCTTTGACCTAATGATGGAAGTGCTAGAACCTTATTTCAGTAATTCTTAGGAGGATAAATCTCCCTTGAGATCTGAAAATAGGTCCCTCTCTTTTTCTGAACATAATAGCGTCCTTGGTGTAGGAAAGGAGCTATACAAGCATCTTCGAGGTTTTAGATGGTATAGGCTCAGGACATTTAGTCAAACAATCTTTAGGAGGGTAGGAGGGTGAATTTGACAGGAGGGGTATATAGGGCTTTTTGAGTTTTTAGAGTTATAAAGTGAAGTTATACCTCTAGGCATCCAGGTACCACTCCAGAGCTACAAAGACAATTGCTGTGAAAATTTTGAAACAGTACTCTCAGAGACTGAGAGATGGCTGAATATAGCTGAGAGAGATGAGCACAGGTAGCTGGATTATGTGAATCCCAGAAGTTGAGATCCTTGTTTCATTTTAATTCTGAGACTAGAATGCTTTGGAGATTCATGGAGTCAATCACCTAGCTGACTGTGGAGGACCAGTTGTCAACAGGGACACCATGTGGTAGGGAGAAGCAATGGCAGTAGAGAATAGTGAGAAATCAAGCTGTCCCATTTGAGTAGGGAGAGGTGAAAGCGCAGAAAGAATCCAGCTTTCCTCCTAATATGGACATTTGAGACTCTAATAGAGGCGTGATTGAATGTACAACCCAAGTTAGAAGAGTAGCTTTTCAGAAGAACAGCTATATTAAGAAAATATTCTTTTACAATGAAAGAAATAACAAAAATGTGTTAAGTAAAGATAAGGGGGAACATTTAATTATTTACAAATGTCATTTGCTCCTGGAAGTTGTTCCTGATATGTCTAAATGAGATAAAATCATTCAATTTTTAACTTTCATGACACCATGAACTTTTGCTTGGAATTCACCAAAATTGAAATTTTGTATTTATTACTGTTTTGTTGACAAGTCTGCCCTCCTCTCCCCAGAATATACATTTCACAAGTGCAGGTACGTGCTTACCTCTCACCTCTGTATCTTCAACATAGGATCACCATGTATCATTGGTATAGTTTGGCTGTGTCCCCACCCAAATCTCATCAACAATTGTAATCCAAATTGTAATCCCCATGTGTTGAGGGAGGAAACTGGTGGGAGGTGATTGGATCATGGGGATGGTTTCCCCTGTGCTCTTCTCTCTTTCCTGCTGCCATGTTAAGATGTGCCTTGCTTCTCCATTCACCTTAAACAATGATTGTAAGTTTTCTGTGGCCTCTCCAGCCATAAAGAACTGTGAGTCAATTAAACTTTTGTGTATAATCACCCAGTCTCAGGTATTCTTCATAGCAGTGTGAGAACGGACTAATACCCTCATCGACCTCTATCACAATGATACATAACATTCATTCAATACAACACTTGGTAAAAAGCACACACTCAAATATTTAGGGATTAAATGTCATTCTTTAATAGTCTAACAATTGAACACATTATTTAAAAACCTTCTCACAATTATGAAAATCCTAGACTCAGATAGAATCATTGATGCATCTTTGCAAACATAAAAAGAATAAATGCAAATAAGAAATAACATAAATCAGACATCAATTCTTTCAGGAAGTTGAAAACAGTGAATAGTCTCTAGTTCTTTTTATGAGATTAGCACCCAAATCTTAACTCCAAAACCTAAAAAAGAAATTACAAGAAAGGTAAATTACTGACCAATCATGAGCATAGACGCAAATATCTTTAATAAAATCCTTAATAAAATATGAGCATTTAAAGTTTAGCGTTTGTCTACATATATAAAATATCAGATGGGATTTTTCCCGTATTCAAATTTAGTTTAGCATTGAAAAATCAATCAGTAAAATTGATCATACCAAAGAAAAAAGAAGAAAGGGGAGAAAAGTGCATGATTATTTTGATGTATTTAGAAAAATCATTTGACAAAATTCAACATTTATCTATGATAAAACTCCAAAAATACTAGGAATAGGGGAAACATATTAACCTACACATAATCTATAAGAATATCTATAAAAAACCTAGTGCAGAAATCTTATACAATGGGGAAATATTGAAAAATGATCTCTTGAAATTAGGAATTAGAAAAAGATGTTCACTATTAATATTGCATTCAATATTGTATTGCAAATCTAGCCAGTAAAATAAGGCAAGAAAAAAGACATAATTAGAAAAAAAGAAATAAAACCATCATTATTCACAGGCCTAATGATCATGTGCCTAGAAAATGTAAACAACTTGCAAATAATCAGAATTAATAAGTAAATTTAGCAAAGTTATTGGGTATATGTTCAATTCACAAACATTTCATTCCAGTAACAAAACAACAAAAAAGTGAAATGAAAAATTGATATCATTACATTAACATCAACAAACATCAAATATCAAGGAAAAAATATATCAAAATATGTTCAAAATCTTTATACTAGGAGTTAAAATTCTCATTAAGTTTAAAGAAGACTAAATAAATGCAGAGATGATTCATGATTATTGGAAGGTATGATATTGGGAGGCATAATATAAAGATGTCAATTTTCTCCAGACAATGTGTAGATTCAATGCAATCATAACCAAAATCCCAGCAGATTTTTTTAAAAATCAAAATTGATAAACTTATTAGAGAAGACCAATATTGGCAATACAATATTAAGGGAGGAAAACAATCCTAGACCCTATCAAATATCAAGACCAATTCTAAGGCTATAGTAATTAAAACAATTTGATATTTGTGCAAGAATAGACAAGTTGAACAATGGAACAACATAAAAAGGCCAGAACTGTCCCCCACATACAGTCATCTGATAGTGGTGGGTGCTTTGAGCTATGAGAAGCCCGTATCTCCCTTAATACATGAAGGACTTATTGTCTCAGATGCTGGAAATGCTACTGGAAGATGATTCTCAACTGTCAGCCCTCTATGGGAACTGTCTCAGCTGAAGAAAATTGGCTCACTCAAGATTACACTTACTTCCAGGGTTAGCCTGCATCCAACATAGGGATGTAAAGACCAAGTCCCTTCTCCTCAACTCAGGACGACTTCAGAAGGTCATCCCAGCTCCATATCTCTCCATGGAATCCACAGAAGCTTTTATTGGGACAGCATTTTCCTTCTCTGAAATTCTGTTTCTTTTATAACTCTTCTACAGTTGTGAAATCCTAAGAGCAATTCTTAACAAACGTCTGGCAATCTAATCTTCTTCTCAGAGGCTGATTCACATGGAAGCCAGATTGCAGCAGTTAGTGCCAAGGAGTGTTCAAACAAGCAGACGCTAAAATGTGATTTCAGAGCTGGATCATGTGCTGCCTGGCTGGAGGATGACAGTGGACTACTACAAAGCCAACCAAGTAGTAGTCCCAGTTGCAGCTGCTAGGCCAGATGTGCTTATTGGTGCTAAAGTAGCATAGCAGGTGTATGGTATATGGCCATTGAGTTGATGAATATGTTCTCCTCTGTTCTTTTATTTATTTGTTTATGTTTTTGAGACGGATTCTCGCTCTGTTGCCCAGGCTGGAGTGCAGTGGCGCGATCTCGGCTCACTGCAAGCTCCGCCTTCCGGGTTCACGCCATTCTCCTGCCTTAGCCTCCCGAGTAGCTGGGACTACAGGCACCCGCTAACACGCCCGGCTAATTTTTTGTATTTTTGGTAGAGATGGGATTTCACCGTGTTAGCTAGGATGGTCTCCATCTCCTGACCTCGTGATCTGCCCATCTCAGCCTCCCAAAGAGCTGGGATTACAGGCTCTATTCTTATCAGAAAAGAGGATCATAAACACTTTGCATTTATTTGGAATAGACAGGTATAGTTTTGTCCCAAGACTATGATAACTGTTTTGCACTGTTACAGTATAAAGTGATCTAGATCCTCTGGATATTCCACACATCATACAGACCCACTATATTGATGCCATTATCTTGATTGGACTGGATGAGCAAGAAGTGCCTAGGTGATTAGAGGCCTTGGTAAGATCCATGTGTTACAAATAGTGGTAAACTCACAGTGATTCAGGGATCCATCACATCAGTAAAACATTTAGGGGTCGAGCGATCCTTTACTCTCCACATTAAAAGATAAATTATTGCATTCTGTATTTCCTATTACAAAGAAGGAAGGACAATACTAGGTAGGCCCGTTTGTGCTAAGAAAGCACCATGTGCCACATCTAGGAATACTGCTCTGACTTTTATACCAGGTAACACAAGAGTCTTCCACCTTTGAATAGGACCCAAGCAGAAAAGGGCTCTGTAGCAACCCTATAGTCTCTAAAAATCTCTGTAATGATGTTTAATGTACCAGTAGTGAAATACGCTATGATGAGTTTATGGAAAATCCCAATGAGAAAAATTGTAACATAGACCCTTAGGGCTCTGTAGCAAGGCCATGTCACCTTCGGTAAATAAGTACATGCCTTTTCAAAAGTAGCCTTTGGTGTATTACTGTGGTCTCGTAAAAATCGAGTGACCACGGGGCCAGAACTGCCCTTCATAAGCTGAGTTCTATCAGTTCTGCCATGTAAGGATGTCAAATGACCTTAGAAACAATCCACTGTGAGATGGGAGTGGTGCATCTGGGGAGTAAGCATGAGCAGGAATGAAAGGCACAAGCTAGTTGCCCAACGATGCAGCTCAGATCCCCATGCCATCTACCACTGCTGCACAGTGTGTCTCTCTCAGCTCATACTTATGGCCAAATGGGAGGAGAAAAAGGCAAGCTTGATTCCAGTGTGGGACAGCCTGGTATGTGGGAAAATTTTTCAGTGGAAAGAGTTTTTGGCAAGTACCTGGTAATTAACTTTGTGTAAAAAGATAAATGGCTCTAAATTAGAAATATATGGATTCATGGTCAGTGGCAAATGGCTTGTCTCCCTGCTGGGAGCTGGGAGTGGTAAGATTGAAAGATTTGAGATACGGAATTCTTGAGCAGGAGCATTTGGATGGACATGTGAGAGTGGTTACAACATGTGAAAATCTCTGTATTACATGTTAATGATCACCAAAGAACATCTAGAAAGAAAGAGTCACTTATCAAGCTAGACAAAGTCACTCAGCCAGTTGATGTCGGCCAGCTGCTGTACCCACCAATCCAATGCTGACATATGGATATATGATGGAATAGTCATGGTACAAGAGATAGGGAAAATGCATGAGCCCCAGAGCATGGGCTGCCACTTACCAAGGCCAAACCATCTACTCTTACTACCAAATTTTTAGTCTGCCAGAGCAGAAACCAGCTGTATTAGTTCCTTCTCACACTGCTCTGAAGAAATACCTGAGACTGGGTAATTTATAGAGAAAAGAGGTTTAATTGGCTCATAATTCCACAGGCTGTGCAGGATGCATGGCAGCATTTCCTTTGGGGAGGCCTCAGGGAGCTTTTACTCATGGCAGAAGGCAAAGCAGGAGCAGGCATCTTACATGGCAGGAGCAGGACTAAGAGATAGAGCGGGGAGGTGCCACACAATTTCCAAGCAACAGGAGTCTCATGATAACTCACTCACTCACTGTCACAAGAACAGTACCGAGGGGATAGTGCTAAACCATTCATGAAAACCTGCCCCCATGATCTAATTACCTCCCACCAGGCATCACCTCCAAAGCTGGGGATTACAATTCAATATGAGATTTGGGCGGGACACACATTCAACCATATCACTAACACTCATCCCCCTATGTTATCTTTCACTGAAGACATCTACAAGTCACTGGGTGGAAAGTTAACTACACAGGGCCCATTTCACACTACACAGGTTAGTGATTAATCTCGACAAAAAAAGACACATTTCCCAGATGGGAGCGGTGGCTCATGCCTGTAATCCTGGCACTTTGGGAGACCGAAGCGGGCGGATCATGAGGTCAGGAAATCGAGACCATCCTGGCTAACACGGTGAAACCCAGTCTCTACTAAAAATACAAAAAATTAGCCGGGCATTGTGGCACGGGCCTGTAGTCCCAGCTACTCAGGAGGCTGAAGCAGGAGAATCGCTTGAACCTGGGAGGCAGAGGTTGCAGTAAGCCAAGATCGCACCATTGCACTCCAGCCTGGGAGACAGAGTGAGACTCCATCTCAAAAAAAAAAAAAAAAAAAAAAAAAAAAGAAAAAGACACGTTTCTCTTAGCCCCTAAGTTGACACATAAAATTAACAATCATATCCCTCAATTTCCAAGTTTACTTAAGATGTCACTTTATATACTCTTAGCCTCTGATTTTTATCTGTAACACATATTAATGTATTAATGTAATGTAATACATAGGTGTTATATAAATGTGTATGTATGTATTTGTACATATACATAAATAAAATATTCATTATATATATTATGAATAGTCTAAAACTATAAATCCTTAGGGTTCTGGTTGCCAGTGTTATTATCACTCATAACAAATCTTAATTTAGCATTTTTGGTATATAACCTGGGCACAGTAGTAAACTTCCTTGGGCCTCATTATGCCTACCTGTAAAATGGGAATGAAAATATCTAATAGTCCATTGGAAATTTATGTGCCAAGAATTATAGTTTTCTAGCATAAGATATTTTTTGGAATATTGGCTAGTTTTTTGAAAATATTACATTGGGCTAGGTACTTATTTTCTCTGTGCCTCAGTTTTTTCATCTATAAAAATAAAATAACAATGGCACACCTGTAAGGGTTTAGTGAGGATTGAATGTGTTCTTGTATAGAAAATGCCTATACAATGGCTGCAATATCCCTTCAATAAACTTTTGGTATTATTATTCTGTAGATACTCTAGTCAAGTAACCAGTGTGCAGCAGCTATTTCATATACCTCCTCTATTCTGAAAAGCCCCACTTTCCTTCTCCCGGCCTCCTACCTTACCAGATAATCATGCCTCCTATCTAAAGGATAAGGTAGCATTTTCATCTCTCCATTCAACCTGCCATTTATAGCCATGCTGTCCTCCTTTTTGTTACACCGTGTTCTTTGACAAAAGCTTCTCCCTCCCTATGTGCTCTGGTGGGTGTGTTTCTGGAATCTGACAGTCTGCCCTCTGGTCACCAAAGATGCCCTTACTCTTCTCATCCACAGAACATACTAATCTTCTGTATTGGAGTTTAATCAGAGGAGCAGAGCCACAGGGAACATTTTAAACCATAGGATTTATTATAGGCAATTCGCTTTCTATATTAAGCAGCTGCTAGACAGCGATTACTTCAGCACCTGAGGCTGGGCCTAAGGTCAGCCAAACAAATACTAGAGGAAGACAGAAGAAAACGAAATGGGAATGAACAACACCAAACTGGACCCGCCAAGGACAAGATGAACCCTGCATTGTTTTCTCAACGCCTTGAAGACGCCAGCTATGACACTGAGTGTGACCTCTGGCAGAAGCTGGAGTCCTTTGTCATGGAGCCACACACACACCTGCCCCAGAACCAGAGAAGCTGAAGGAGGAGATCTGTCGGGAACGGAAGAAGCTGCTGGCTGGCTGCCGCCTCAAACCAAGGAGGGGAGCTGGCAGATCGCTGCATTGTGAGCTGCAGCAGTGCTGGACCTCTAGAGTGGACCCGAGCATGCAAAGAATCGGGCTGCTGCTTCCTGTTCCCTTCGGAATCTCATACAAAATGCTTCTTGTGGCACAAGCTAACCTGAAACTTTGCAGGGAAGGGAATTCTCAGAATTTTGTGGTTTGCTAGACTGGCACGGTACAAGTTTACCACATCTCCTCCCCAAGGGAGACAAGAAAATTTCATCAAGTTCAAAGTGCAGGGATGTCTAGGTCATGTGCTGTTTCTCCATGAAGTCCAGATGTGGCTCCTTGTGATCTAGTTATCCATGAACTTAAAAAACAAGTTATCTGCTCTTCCCTATCCCCCCCCCACCTCACACAAAAACCTACAATATATTGGAGTAGAATACCATAATAAACACTCCCATTTGGAAAAAGAAAAATTAGAAAACACATGACAGGCCCCAGTGTGTGGTGTTCCCCTTCCTGTGTCCAAGTGTTCTCATTGTTCAGTTCCCACCTATGAGTGAGAACATGCGGTGTTTAGTTAGAACTTAAAGTATAATTTAAAAAAAAAAAACTAAAAAAAAAAACAAAATAAAAAACTAAAAAAAAAAAGAGAGAGAGAAAAAAAGAAAAATTAGAAAACACATAGTAAATGCCAGTTTTCAGCAATGCTGAAATTCTAGCGGGCTGCATTTCCAGATCTTTCTTTCCAGAACTTTCTTGATGAGTCGCTGATTCTGCTTGCTGGGACATACTTTCTTGTCCAAGTACTTTGTGGTTCCTGGCTGGGCTTTTTTGAAAGTTATTCCTTGTCCGTTCCTCTCCACGGCTGCTTCTAAATTGAGAATTGAGGAGTGCGCTCTCCCTGGTGGTGGAATCACCTTCACAACACACTTTACTTTTTCTGCCTCTGCAAATTCGCGGGCCCAAGGGTTGTTCGTTGTAGTTGTTGTTTAACAGTTAGATTCTAATCCACATGGATTTTATTTTGGTGCTGGTGCGAAAAATGATTTAACACTTTTTTTTTCCAAATGTAGAGTTGATTATTTCAAGCTTATTTATTGATGAGTTCATCTTTTCCATGCTAATTTGAAATGCCACCTTTATCATAAATTAAATTCCCATACATACATGAAATCATTTCCGGACCCTTCTCCTGTTTCATTGATCTTTTGTATCTATACTGCAGTGGCTTCAGCTAGGGGAATAGAGTATTCGCTGCCCCAGGAGAATTCGCAATGTCTGGATCCATTTTTGGTTGTTAAAACTGAGGCATGGGATCTCACTGTCATTCAGTTGGTGGAGGTAGGGAATATTGCTAACATCCAAAATACACAGGACAGCCTTCCACAACAAGGAATTAGTAACTTGCCCCAAATTTCCACTGTGCTGAGGTTGAGAAATCCTTGTATAATGGTTTCAAAAACATGATTTTAGGTATTATTTTTATGCATATTCTTATGGTATTCTCTTCCAGGTGTTCTAATAATAAATTTGAGTTCCACAGAGAAATCTTGTTTGGATGTGTTTGAGGATGTCATTGACTTTATAGATCAATTTGGAAAGTGTGAACATTCTTATCATATTGATAATTCCATGGCTTTACAGATTAATTTGGAAAGTGTTAACATCTTCATAATATTGATCATTTCCATTTAGGATTATGATATGACTGTTTACTTACTTTGTTCTTTCTTTACATGCTTCAATAGAGTTTTACAGTTTTACTGATGTAGATTTTGCTTATTTATATTAGGTTTTATTCCTAAGTTTTTATTTTTCTTGTTCCTCTTATACACAGAATTTTTTAAAGTTACATTTTCTCATTTTATCTGCACTGAAAACTTCTGCCTTTTGAAATATGCTACCTATTTTTAAATATCTATGGTAAATACAACATTCTCATATGTTACATTCACTATAAGTATTATCTGTTACTGAAGGTTTAAAAAAAAAAAACTGTTGGTATCTTGTGGTGTTCTCCCAACTGGACCATTCTTCTTTTCAGGAGTTCTAAACAAATTAATAAAGAAAACAAAGGAATGGAAGTGGAGGTCAAGATATCTATTTTTACTGGAAATATCTAAGCTACAGGATGTAGCTTGGTATGAGAGCCAAATGGGCTTGCTAACTGAATTCCAGAATTGGGCAAACAACCCACCCAGTCACAAGCACTGATGGACTGCCTGCAGTTTACTCTCAACAACTATGACTTCTGCCTGCTTCACTATTTATATCACATGTGAGTTTCTTTCATGGGTAGTCGCTAACCGACAACCACCCTGGTAAATGGATTCTGGAAAACATTATTTCAGGATTCTCTTCTGAAATGCAGAGGAGATCTTAGCAAAGAGTGGCAAGGATCTGAGTTGACATTAGATACAGGCGAGTAACCTAGTACCCTCAGGCCAGTTCCATCCTGCCACCTGTATTTTTGGATTACAGTCTTACCCATGAATTGCCCCTGGCTGGTTTCATGCTGCAATGTGGGAGTTGAGTATTTGCCACAGAGACAGCACGGCTGGCAAAGTCTCAAATATTCATTATCTAGCCATTTACAGAAAAAAGTTTCTCAACCTTTGCAATAGAAAATCTAGTAATACATTCTATGACTATTGGTATTTTGTGTTTTTTTAAGTCTTCTTGAGTCAATTTTGATCATTTACATATCTCCTTGAATGTCATCCTATTGCTTTTAAACTTTATCTTTACACTTTGTTTCTTTTCTTTTTACTAATAATGTTTCTAATATTTTTTGTTTTGATTAGGCTTGACCAGAAGTTATTTTACTTGATTTGTATAATTCATTATTTATTTTAATTTATTTTTGCTTTTGATTTTGTTTCCTTTTATATTTAAAGGAAATAACCTTTCAAAAATCATATCTTGGATTGAATCCTTAAACCATTTATTTAAAATTTTATTGTGTTATAATAAATGCATTTATAGTTATAAATTTTCTTTTCAATACTGCTTTGGATTAAGTCCATTACTTTTGAAATATAAATATTCATGATTACTTTCTAAAGTTTATGTTTCTAGTTTTAATAAGCTCTTTGACTCAAGTTCATTTGGAAGTATGTTTTAATTTTGTAAGTAAAGGAGTTTATGTGTTTGTATTATGTTCCAGTTATTTATAGTCAACTTCTAGTTTATTGAATTTTGGCTTAAAAATCAGGGCTATATGGTTTCCTTTGCATGGAATTAGTTGAATTATTCGTTGTGGCCTTATAAATAGCCACTGTCACCTATGGTAGGGGCAAATAATTGGGGGTTTTGATAAGATTATCTATGGATTATTTTATGTTTTGGTAAATTTATTTTCTTTTTAACCAATTATAAAATCTCAATTATTATATGTCATGTTACTTGTGTCATTAAAGTTCTGTATCTTTCACTTTTTATTGTCTGCTTGATTTGAAAGAAGCATGGTAAAATCTTTCACTACTTCCGTTGAGTTGTGTACTTCTTTTTTTCCTTATAGAAATTTTTATTATGCCTTAGTTATAGTGTATGATGCATAAACATTTGTGATTGTTTTAATTATTTTGTGTAATCTATTTGTCCAATCTACTAATGAGCTTATCAAAGACATTCTCCATTTTTATTACAATATTGTCACATTTCCACATTTTCTTTTTATTGTTACTGAGAATTGCCATCTTTCACTTATGTTACCCATTTGATGTTGCGTGTTGCTACTTTTCCCGTTAGATTTCCACATTTTCTTTTTATTGTTGCTGAGAATTGCCATCTTTCACTTTTATGTTACCCATTTGATGTTGCGTGTTGCTACTTTTCCCGTTAGAGCCCTTACTACAGTAATCATAGTTATTTTAAATTCCCTGTTTGATGATTGTGACATGTGTATTGTATCTGAGACTGTTATTTTTTCTTGCTTTTGGCTGTACCTTGTAATTTTTTTGTTGAATGCTGGACATGTTTTATTGGTTATAGGAACAGAGGTAAGTAGGCCTTTGGAATAAAGTTTCATGTTAATCTGGTTAGGAGCTGGGCTTTATTTACATTTGGTGTAGCTATAGGTGCCAAAAGCTTGGCTTGAGTGTTTTTATTTTTGACTTCCTTCTTGACTTTGGGCTTATAGTAGTCCCTTGTAATGCACAGTTTTATTTTCTGCAGTTTCATCTACCCGCCATCAACTATAGTCCAACAATAGGTGAATATAGTAGAATAAGATATTTTGAGAGAGCAAGAGGCCACGTTTACATAACTTTTATGACATTATATTGTTAGAATTATTGTTTCATTATAATAGTCATTAACCTTTTACTTTGCTTAATTTTTAAGTTAAATTTTCTCATACACATGTACATATAGGGAAAAACATAGTATGGATAGGGTTCAGTATCATGAACGATTTCAAGCATCCACTGGGGGTCTGGGAAAAGATCCCCTGTAGATAAGGGGGAACTACTATACCCTTCCTTACAGTCTGTTTCTCAGCTGAAATTCACTATGATACAAGACTTCTTTGGGTGCAGTGGTAAGGTAGGTATAGAAAAACATTCCATAATCTTCTAATTAAATCTTGGTCTTTTACTGGGGCCTGTGTCTCTGGCCTGTGAGCTTCACAGGGGTTTCTTCTTGTATAACTTCCCTTCCTAGCTGAGACAGAAAAGCTAGAGGAGGCTGGAGTAAGAGGAATGTTCTTCCTCTGCAGCTCTGGAATAAGGTCTTTTCCCTGGAGAGTAGGTCTTTGTTATGGAGAAACCCATATTCCACAGTGATTACTTTTCCCCTCCCCTTGCCAGAGCAAGGACGATATTTCTCCAGTCTTCATTGTGAGAACCTGGTAGAGATCAGGGAAGAAAAGCTCATGAAGTATGGAGCCCCTGGGAATATCTCCCTCTCATGTTAGTCTGCACTCAGTCTCTAGCAATTTGTCAAAATTACCATTTAAGTGTCCTTAGCAGTTTATATTTTTAATAGCTCTACTCTAGGTAAGCAGATCTCAGCTCAGACTGAATTTTCCTCTCTCCAGATTCCAGGGTAGAGGTCTGCATGGCAAACTTAGTTCTCCGATAGGGCTAAAAAAAGTCATTGATTTTCATTTTATCCAACTTTTTCTTGTTGAAGGACAGGAGTGACAACTTCCAAGCACTTTATACCTTGGAGCTAAAACTGGAAGTCCTGAATCCAGTCTTTATCACGATAAATATACATTTGGCGGGGTGGGGGGGCTCATTTAATGGTTTTAGTATTATATCTCACTTATCTGATTTTTAAATTATCATTTGTTTAGAACATGTGTAGTCATCTTATTATGTTTAGCCATCTGTCTATGTAATTTTGTTTTTGTTTCACTCCTTGTAAAAAGCACATAGCTGAATTTTGTTTCTTTTTTAAATGCAATCTGGTATTTTAATAGGATAATTCAACCCATTACTGCCACACTGTCGTTGCATCTTCCACCTGTCTCTTTTCTTTGTCATTTCAGGATTCTGACGTTTGATTTTCCAAATTGATCATTTGTTTTTAGCAATCTACTTTTTTACTTCCTCTGTTAACCTTTTTGTAATATACAAAAATCATGTTGTTGTTTTTAAGTTTTAAAACCTCTTCTTTGTTCTTTGATAATTTCCTTTAAATGTGTTCTTGGATCATCTAAGAGTTTATTTTTTTTTTCCTTACTCCTATCTGGGTAATGTTTTACCCAGGTGGTAAAAGGTTAAAAATGAATTCTGTCACCTGCTGGCTAGGAGACAATGGTCTGGCCTGCTATAATCCACAGATCAAGTGGTTGTGCTTGGAAGCCTCCAGATTTTTGAGATCCTCATGGAATAGAGCAGTAAGTTGCATTCTTCTCCTGGCTTCCCATTCTCCTGCCACAGTTCTTTACTTAGGGAGACATATGAACTAAGAGTATTCTGTTTTTCCCTGTGCTATGATTACAAAGCAGGTAGAAACAGTTCTTCCATGAAAGCCATGGCATGGGATGTCATCGCCCTAATTTTCTCATGCAGATTCTCTTTTCAGACTGCCTGGTCTTTTGTGATTGGAAAACACATCACATGAAAGCTACTCCTTGTGGAGCCTCCTTGTAAAAGGGGACATTTAAATGACTGTGGGATTCTCCTAAACAATCTGCTAAACTGTATCCCTCGGCCCCAGATTCCCCTCTATTTTCTTAACCCAGCTCCGGCTCCTCAAAACACATACAGAGTAATTAACAAAGAGAAAATTTTTAAAAAGAAGGATTCGTTAGTAACATAGAAAGTCATCTTTATCACTTTGGGAGGCTGAGGTGGGCGGATCACTAGGTCAAGAGATGGAGACCATCCTGGCCAACATGGTAAAACCCCGTCTCTACTAAAAATACAAAAATTAGCTGGGTGTGGTGGCATGTGCCTGTAGTCCTACCTACTCAGCAGGCTGAGGCAGGAGAATCGCTTGAACCAGGGAGGTGGAGGCTGCAGTGAGCCGAGGTCACGCCACTGCACTCCAGCCTGGTGACAGAGCAAGATTCTGTCAAAAAAAAAAAAAAAGTCATTTTTATAGACTCTCATGCTGGTTATTATTTTTTCCATCTTCTCAAATAACAAAAGTGTTTAAAAGTAACTTCTTTATATTGAAGTCTGTTTAAATACAGTAATGTATGCCTAAAAAAGTTGGAAGTATTTTTATATTTTGGCTTTTATAAGTAAACACGATCCTCACATTTGAATTAGCTGAAGTACAGAAATATATCTTTATCTATGTATTAGAAAAGCTTTTCAGGCCAGGCACAATGGCTTCATGCCTGTAATCCTAGCACTTTGGGAGGTTGAGGTGAGCGAATCACTTGCAGTCAGGAGTTTGGGGCCACCCTGGCCAACATGGTGAAACCCCGTCTCTACTAAAAGAAATACAAAAATTAGCTGGGTGTGGTGGCGGGCACCTGTAATTCCAGCTACTCAGGAGGCTGAGGCAGGAGAATCGCTTGAACCTGGGAGGTAGAGGCTGTAGTGAGCCGAGATCACACCACTGTACTCCAGCCTCCATGACAAGGAAGGAGACTATGTCAAAAAAAAAAAAAAAAAAAGAGCTCTTCAATTACCATTTTGTATCTGGCCAAGCTAAAGCCCTCAAGCCAATACTGTCCTATTTATGTACAAGATAACATTGTCCTGATAAACTGTGGAAATGAAGAGACCTATTTCTTGAAATGTATTTTCATCTACTTGTCAATATGGATATAATGAAATATATTACTTCAAAAACAATGGAAATGTTATTAAATTTAGTGAGTTTTATTCACATGTTAACATTCCAGTTTCTTTGGACCTTCTTAAATTTTGGCCTACTTCCTCTTTCTTGCTGACTTTTCACATCCTCTTCCAGATCCATTACCAATTGGAGCTACACATTTGTTCAAAGCAGATTTAAATGTTCATAATAAAATCAGTGAAACTGCACTAAGTGTCATTTATAGTAAAATTTAAAACTTATTCTTTCACTAGCCTAATAAAGCCACTATTACATTTAGCCGTCCCATCAGTAACACTGTACCTGAACTGGCATCTGGCTGAGACATCCTGTCTTGGTTTTCAAATGGAAACAATTAACTCAATCAGTTGCACATATTTTCCCTAGGACTTATACTAACCAAAATGGAACGGTGATAAATGAACAATTACTTCTGGAAATTCCTACTTTTCTTTTGATAACATGCAAAAGCAAAAATTTAAAACTATATTAACTTTCTAAAGGAGCATAGACACAACTCTCTTTCTATTTATTTGTTTTCCTATATAGAGACCATTATATTCCATACTAGAAAAAAGATTAATACATTGTCCTTATAACATCTAAACATATGATTCATCTGAAACTTCCCAAAATCCATGAACAGAGATTTATATTCAATAGATAGGAATTCTGTCTTTATTGTGTTAAAGATTTTTTCTAAAACTTGCTAGATGAAATCTTCTTTGATTCATTAATCTAGTTAAAAAGATTCCCCAGGGATGCTCTAATTTCAAGCCTGGCATATAAATGTCTGTCTTCCTCCTCTTTAAATATTTCCTATATAAGCCTGTCTGTTGCATGCAAGTAAACTCCTATTTTGCATATATCTGCCTCCCATCTGACATCAAGCTTCTGGTGGTCCAGGGACCCCAGGTTGTAGTCATAGCAGTAGAGGTGGAAGTTCCTTGGATAACACTGATTTGTGTTACAGCAGCCATTCTTGCCAGTGCCATTGTTTATTAATTTATTTAGATATAAAATTATTTAACAAATTCACTGAAATAGAGCCAGTTATCAATTGAGGATATTGATCGACTGGCATGCAAGTTTTTTACAGAATTTATTAATGGAGAGATTTAAAGTTTTTAAAAATTTCATAAAAAAATCCTTAAATGAGTTGTACAACTATTTTAATAAAAATACCAAAAGGGAATTAATATAGCACAAAACTGAAATAACAATGGTGTGTGATTTTAGAGTCAGAATGTTACTTTAAAAAGATTTACTCAGAGTAAATTCATTACATTGCTTAATCTATTTTAATGAAATTCTTTAATATTTGGAAACAATTCAAAATCAACATGTTCTTTTGCTAATCATACTGCTTAAATATAAATCTGGTCGTGTTTTATCTCCTACTTAAAATTCTTCAATGGCTCTCCTAATCTTCAGAACAAGGTAAAAAGAAACTCTTTAGCATGGTGTTCAATGTTCTTCATTATCTGATCATTTTTACCTCCCTGGCTTTATCTTTTCCCACTTTCCTGCAATGTTCCAGCAATACTGATGTTCTGACTAATGCCCACTTGGCTCATGCCTAATTCAAGTGTCCATACACATTGTGATCTAACTGTGTGGAATCAAAATCTTTGCACCAAAAGGACTTTAATCCAGCGAACTCCTAATTATTTTGCAAGGATCATCCAAGTCATCTCTTTTGAGAAACCTTTGATTCCCCCGAGAGGGCTTCCTGCTTCCAGACTTCTCGATGCTTGCCTATAGAACAACTCTTACCACACTGTTTATGAGCATCAGTCTGTTTCTCCCACTTTAGACCATTTTACAGAAGGTTCTTACTAGTTTCCATATTATAGCTTTCTACCTAATATTTAATCCATAGTAAATAGCCAAAAAATGTTTTTATTAAAAGAAATATAAAATTAGGCCAGACGCGGTGGCTCACACCTGTAATCCCAGCACTTTGGGAGGCTGAGTCAGGCAGATAGCCTGAGGTCAGGAGTTCAAGACCACTCTGGCCAACATGATGAAACCCTGTCTCTACTGAAAATACAAAAATCAGCCAGGCGTGGTGGCTAGCACCTGGGATCTCAGCTACTTGGTAGGCTGAGGCAGGAGAATTGCTTGAACCCAGGAGGTGGAGGTTGCAGTGAGCCAAGATTGTGCCAATGCACTCCAGTCTGGTTGACAGAGTGAGATTCTGTCTCAAAAAAAGAAAAGAAGAAAAATAAAAAAGAAATATAAAATCAAAATGAGCTATGTGGTATTTTTAATGAGTAATTTTCTTACCTATTTTTTTTTAAAAAATACTGTTGTCACACACTGGGGACTGTGGTAGGGTGGGGAGAGAGCATCAGGAAGAATAGCTAATGGATGCTGAGCTTAATACCTAGGTGATGGGTTGATCTGTGCAACAAACCACCATGACACACGTTTGCGTATGTAACAAACCTGCACATCCTGCACATGTACTCAGAACTTAAAATAAAAGTTGAATAAAAAAATACTGCTGTCTGATTATCATTCTAGCTCTCATCCTTCTACCTTCACACACTTGTGATAGTGAGACCCTAGGTTTCATTAATTTACAAAGGAAAGTATAGGGCAATGAAATGAATTAATTGGAATGAATAAATAAAATATATGGAACACAAGAATAAGAGATAAATCTTTATCAAAAGTGTAGTTGACTATTTTGTCCTGGGATAAAAAGTTTTCACTTGGGACAATCAATTTTGAGTAATCATGAATTCCATGGATGATTATGGAAATTTCCTCCTATTGATGACCCATATGTGATGTTGACAAATGTAAGATTTTGTTTTCACAGTAGATTGATCTATATGTCCAACTGTCTACCTATTTATTTATCATTTGTTACCAATTCTATTTTCCCTTCAGTACTGTTTTGACTTCCATATTTTTAAGTTCTATCTAGATAATTTGCTATAAATTATTTACATATAGCAGGATATGAAAAGATAAAAGGGCTACATTTTAATCCTCACCCTAATGCACAGAAAAAAAGAAATATATCTACCTTCAGAATGAGAGATATTGTACATAAAGTTTCTGGTACAAAGTAACTGACTCATGCTTGCCTTTAGTTCTTTACTCCATCCATACCTCATTTTCCTGTGAACCCCATCATACTCACTGAAGATGATGAATTGCAGCCTTTGGCTCTGATAATTACACTTTTTCAAACTCTGTCATTTCTTCACTTCCGTGATTTCTCTCTTTCTTCTTCTAAGTGCATCTCCAAAGATAAAACTGGACTTTCTTTCCTGTATTTTCATTTTCCCTTTGTGTATCAGTTGGTATGGTACGTTATATTACATCTCTATCTCTGACACTCTCCTGAGTGTAGGGTCTTTCATTTCTTTCTATTTTTTTTTTTTTTTTTTTTTTGAGATGATGTCTCACTCTCACCCAGGCTGGAGCACAACGGCACGATCTTGGCTCACTGCAACCTCCACCTCCCGAGTTCAAGTGATTTTCCTGTCTCAGCCTCCCAAGTAGCTGAGATTACAGGTGCGTACCACCACGCCTGGCTAATTTTTTGTATTTTCAGTAGAGACGGGGTTTCACCACGTTGGCCAGGTTGGTCTCGAACTTTTGACCTCAAGTGATTCAACTGCCTCAGCCTCCCAAAGTGCTGGGATTACAGGCATGAACCACTGCACCCAGCCGGGTCTTTCATTCCTAATAGCCTATTAGAAATCATCATTTGGTGCCTCAATCTGAATTCATCTGAAATAGAATACTTTATCTTTCTTTCCACAACTGTACCTCTCCACTTATTTCATAATTCTGTAAATATCCCATCAAGCACCTGGTCATGTGAATTCAAAAACTACACGTTGTCTTTGAGTGGTTTTTACCATAATTCACAATTCGCAATCAGTTACCAAGGCACACAGATCCTTCTTTTGAAATTTCTCTCACCATTGTCTTCTCCATTTCAGCTTCTTCAAAGTCCTATCCACATATCTGGTATTTACTTCAGGTGCTATATCCAAAACCTAATTATTATAATAGGTCTGCAACTTTTGCCTCTACGTTCAGAATAGGGAATAAATTAATATGCTAATATATAAGTAGTCAGTAAAGTTGTAAGAGTCTTCACTATGCTTCCTTTTACATTTGTTTATAGTATTTATCATGACTGAATTACGTCCCCCTCAAAATTGATATGTTGAAATCCTGAAACTCCAATACCTCAGAATGTAACCATTTTTGGAGACAAGGTCTTTAAAGAGGTGGTTAAACTAAAATGATCCCATTAGGGTCGAGCTCTAATCCAATATTACTGGTGTCCTTACAAGACGAGAAAGAGACACTAAGGACTCCTATACACAGAAAGATAATCCTGTAAAGAAGCAACAAGAGGACCATCTCCTGCAAACCAAGGAGAGAGAGGCCTCACAGGCAACTAACCTTGCGAGCACCTTGATCGTTGACTTCTAGCCTCCAGATCTGTGACAAAACAAATTTCTGTAGTTTAAGCTTCCCAGTCTGTGGTACAGTGGTTCCTCTAACATCTGTGGGGGGGTGGTTCCAGAACCTTCCACGAGTACCAAAATCTGTAGATGCTCAAGTCGCTGATATAAAAGATGAAGTATTGTCATATAACCTATGCACATCCTCCTGTATCCTTTAAGCAATCTCTAGATTACTTATAATAGGCTGGTCTGAGTGCAGTAGTATTTGCAACTAATTAATTACAACTAGTTACAGTTTTCTTTGTTCCTTCTCCAGTCCCATTGCTGGAGAAAATTTAATTAACCTAAATTTTTTAAAATGCAAATTTAAAAATAGATTACTTATGATAACTAATACAATGCAAATGCTATGTAGAGAGTTATCATACTGTATTATTGAGGGGATAATGACAAAAGTCTGCACATGTTTAGTACAGATGCAATTTTTTTTCAAAAATTTTTGATCCATGGTGGGTTGAATCCATGAATGTGGAATCCACAGATATGGACAGCTAACTGTATTTTGTTATGGCAAACAATGTGTATAACTGTATTTTGTTATGGCAGCCCTAGCAAACTAACATAGTATTGAGCTTAGGTAAAGCAATTTCCAATCCATAGCCATCTTGTGTAGTCTTTAATCTTGTTCCTCCTAGACATAATAAAGTCAGTTGGTCATGTAAGTAGGAAAAAAGAAAGTGCTAGCAAAAGGCAAGCATAAATGTAGATGTGGAGCTTCAGAATTAGAACACTTGTTAACCCACTCCTTTATTTTTAATTATAAAATTAAATGCAGGTTACTTAGCCCGTCAGTTTATCCCTACAGTGCTCAATAAAATTTAGGTGAAGCATCAAGTTTATAAAAGGAAGTGAGGTGTAGAAGTATCCATTTTATTTCCACTTCTTGGCTTTCTGAATTATCCCCATGGGTATGAAAAATAAAATTAAAGAACTCAATTTACTTATTTTTCCTTTCAGCAAAGGTAATTTAATTGATTTAATTAAATAAATTAGTAAAAGATCTCACTGTACAATACAATATTCCAGTGGTATGTTTCCTTTTTTTTTTTTTTTTTTTTTTTTTGAGACGCAGTCTCACTCTGTCGTCCAGGCTGGAGTGCAGTGGCGCGATCTCGGCTCACTGCAATCTCCGCCTTCCAGGTTCACACCATTCTCCTGCCTCAGCCTCCTGAGTATCTGGGACTACAGGCGCCCGCCACCATGCCTGGCTAATTTTTTTTGTATTTTTAGTAGAGATGGGGTTTCACCGTGTTAACCAAGATGGTCTCAATCTCCTGACCTCGTGATCCACCCACCTTGGCCTCCCAAAGTGCTGGGATTACAAGCGTGAGCCACCGCGCCTGGCCTGTTTCTTTTTTTTGTTTGAGACAGGATCTCACTCTGTTGCTCAGGCTGGAGCACAGTGGCACGATCTCAGCTCATTGCACCATCTACCTCCCTGGCTCAAGTGATCCTCCCACCTCAACCTCCTGAGTAGCTAGAACTAGGCATGTGCCACCATGCCTGGCTAATTTTGTTTATTTTTTGTAGAGATGAAGTCTCACTATGTTGTCCAATGGTATATTTACCATCAAGGATTATTAGCTGTAGACACATTTCTATTTATAGCTTTGATTAGCCTTTCCTGGGTTACCTGTGTAGCCTTCTGCATTTCAACCTAGGGAAATATCTAATAAGTTTATTAAAAAAATTATTAAGTTTCTATTATGTCACCATGACAGTGCTAAATGCAGAAGATACAGTGATGATTCAGATAGGCATAATCTCTAAGAGACCTTACATTTTAGTGGAGGAGACAAACAAGTAAAGAAACAAACAAGACAATTGCAGGCCGTGATAAGGGCTGTAAGGAGACCAAATAGCATAATGAGGTGGAAAGTAACATGTGATGCTAATTAGGGGGACAGGAAATGCTAAGAACACATTTCAGGTAATGATAAATGAGAACACTCTAACTGTAGGAAGAATTGGTAAAAGAGCATTCCTCATAAAATGCACAATTGTAAAGGCCTTTAGGTGGAGATAGGTTTGGCTTTTTGGAAGAAGAGAAAGAGGTGAATGGACTGAAGTATAATGCGTGCAGTTGCACATGGTACAAGGTGACTGGGGAAACTGGATACATAATAGTAGTTTTTATTGAAATATTAAGCCCTGGAGTATGAGAAGTTTGGAAAGATCTGCAGAGGATTGTATATTTCTAATTTCGAATTCTGGCAAGATCCTCTAATAGAGATGTCTAGGAAGCAGTTGTGATATAGTTCTGAAACTCCCAGATAATTCTGGGCTAAAAGACACTTTTAGGTCATCAATTATTATTGACTGAATGTTTGTGTCCCCCTCAAATTCATATGTTAAAATACTAACCCTCAATGTGATGATGTATTAGGAAGTGAGACCTTTGGGAAGTAATTAGGTCATGAGGGTGCAATTCTTATGAATGGGATTGGTCCCTTTATAAAATAGACACCAGAGATGATTTATCTTTCAGCCATGCGTGAATACAATGAAAAGACAGATGCCTGCTAACCAGAAAGCAGCCCCTCATCAGACATAATATCTGCTGGTGCCTGATCTTGGACTTCCCAGCCTCCAAAACTGTGAGAAAGGAATGGTTGTTGTTTAATGTGCTCAATCTATGGTATTCTATTATAGAAGCTTGAACTGACTCAGATATTCACAAATAGAGATGCTACTTGAAGTGATAGAAGTAGATGAAATGAACAGAGAGATTATGTAGAGTGAGAAGACCAGAGGTCCTGAGAAGGAAATTTGAGGACCATCAGTTTTTAAGAAATGGGTAGAATAATAAAAACCTATAAATGAGATGAAGAATAAATAGCCAAAGGAAGCAGAGAAGAGAGAGTCAAAGGAAGAGCAATTTTCATGTAAGAGAGAACCATTTGCTACATCAAGGGATGAAGAGAGGTCAAACAAGGTAAAAATTCTAGAATGTTCAAATTGTTGGTGATGCTGGTTTGAGCAGGGCACGTGCAGTGGAAGACACTGAATTACAATACATTTGAGAGACGTGTAAGAAAATGAAGACAGACAGAGGGTTTGCAAGTGTTTGCTCTTGAAGGCCTGGCTGTTGAGGGCCAGGAGTGGAACTTGAATGTGCTTCATACTTAGGCTGGGGCGGAACAAGGTTTTCATTTTAAATGTTGGAAACTTTTGTCTGTTGAAAGATGGAGTCAGTGGAAAGGGTAAAGACACAGGTAAAGAGAAGGGAGAGGAAAACTGATGTATCAGAATTCCTGAATTCATGAGAGGTGGATAAGATTCAAAGCACAGGTGGAGGAATTGATCTTGGACAGAAGAAACACAGAAGAAATGTTTTATCTTAACAGAATAGAAGGAGAAAAGAAAAATTCATAGCATAAGTAGATTTGTTGAATGAACTTGAAAGCATTTCCATTTTGATGGCTTCCATTTTCTCATCTCTTGAGACTGAGGAGGAAAAATATGCTTGGAGGTTTGAGGAGAGTGGAGAATGTATGAAATAACCATGGAAAACAAGAGCTACCATAATAAAATTCCTGAGCATATAAAGGGTTTCTCTATTATACATGACAATTAAACTACAGATGCATCTGCACTTACATCAGGTTATGTCCCAATAAACACACCTTAAGTCCAAAAGTAATATAAGTCAAAATGCATTTAATGCTGGGAACAGAGCAGATGGTCTCTGACTTACAGTGTTTCTACTAATGATTTTTCAACTTTACGATGGTGCAAAAGTGATACATATTCAGTAGAAACCTTGTTGTTCATAAGAAGCTTTTTGAGTTCTGATGGGGTTATATCCTGATAAACCTATTGTTAAGTCCAACCACTTTAAATTAAAGACCATCTGTATTCTACTGCATAATTAATCTGTTGACTCAGTTTGGAGAAAGCAGGTAGTAGGCTTTACCCACTATTGGAATTTTGTCAAGGGAATGTAGCAGAAGGACAGTGAAGTAGTTCAGGCTACCTGTAAGAAAGTTTTTCCTGAAATTTTCTAACCACAATTTATATTCCCTTTCCTGCCAGTTGAGCTGGGAATTCAAAGGTCAAGGTGTCTACCAATTCAGTGTCTGGTAGGAATTCACTTTCTGGTTCACAGATAGCAGTCTTGCTGTGTCTTCACATGGAGGAAGGGGGCTAGAGAGCTCTCTGGGGTCCCTTTTATAAGGGCACTAACTCCATTCATAAGGGCCTACCTTCATGACCTAATTACCACACAAAGGCTCTACCTCCTACTACTGTCACATGGGGGAAAGGACTATAACATAGGAGCTTTTAGGGTACAAAAACATTCAGTCCATTGAACTCGGTTAAACAATATTGACAATTTTTAAAAAATTTATAATATAACAGGCCAGGTGTGGTCACTCACGGCAGTAAGCACCTAGCACTTTGGGAGGCTGAGGCCAGAGGTTCACTTGAGCTCAGGAGTTTGAGACCAGCCTGGACAAACATAGTGAGACCTTGTCTCTATAAAAAAAATTAATGTTTAAAAAGCAACAACAAAAATTAATATGCTAAAATACTTATAAATCTCAGAAATACTTTATAAATCTTAAGAGAAAGACAATATTTTTCATTGATTTCTCTCTTTCTTTCTTTTTTCACCCCCACCATGAAGCATCCTGAGGGCTAATGTTGAATCGAACATGCTTTAAAAAATGCTAACCTGTAGAATTTTCTCCAAACATTTTATTCTGGTCCCTTTTTTTTTTTTCTAACCCAACCTAATGGGTTAGAAACTTTCCTTTTTGCACATTTCCCAGCCAAGCCAGCCTCAGAACTGTATTTTTACCTCTTTGCTGATGTTATTACCCCATAACAAATGTTCTTCTACCTCTGCACCAGTACTACATATAAATTCTATTGATAATTTTTTTTTTAAAATTCAGCTAGGAAGATATAATCTCAAAAACCCCTGGCAAACTTAAGTAAGTACATACTTAGTGATGATGAAATGTTGAGAGCTTGCTCGGTGAGCCTAATTTTTCTTTCATTCTTTTTTTTTTTCTTTTGAGACAGGATCTCACTCTGTTGCCTTGGCTGGAGTGCAGTGGCATGATTTCAGCTTATTGCAACCTCAACCTCCCGAGCTCAGGAGATCCTCCTACATCAGCCTCCTGAATAGCTCGGACCACGTGTGCACACCACCGTGCCTGGCTAAATTTTGTATGTTTTGTAGAGATGGGTTTTGCCATGTTGCCCAGGCATGTCTTGAACTCCTGGACTCAAGCGATCCACTCACCTTCGCTAGGGTTACAGGCATGAGCCACTGGGCCTGGCACAGGGAAGCTATTTTTAAAGTCTTATTTAAAAACTTTAATAATTTGATAAATGCAATGGTTTTCTTTCTATAGCTAATTTGTACTATTTGTATGACTGTTGCCTATTCACTTGCTTATTCTAATAAAGTTGCTAAAGTAGAGTGCTGGTTCTTGTTCATCTTATCTCATACCATATATATAAAAATTATAAATGGATTTTACTGGTATGGTTAATATAAAACATTTCCCATGAGGCCAGATTTAGAATTCATAATCTGCATGTTTGGAGCTTTCAGTTGAACTGTCTTGGTATGAGAAAATCTGGAAGAATAAATTCTTTACATGATCCTCATGTAATGCTTCTGCAATATTAACTGTTTACCTAGGTCTTAAAGGAAGGAGAAAACAAAAAAAAATCAAGATTGACATTATTGACAAGCTTCTAAAAGGCAGATTTTTGGATTGCTTATTAAACTGAGATTACATATCTATTTTAGATTCCAGGGGAAGAGGACATGTTGTCACGAACACTTAGGACTTGAAATCCTGGCTTGTGGAGGATAGCATGACCTCTTCTCAGATCTGCAAAAATGCTGATGGGCAGATTCAAAAGAGTCAACAATAACTTCGCTCTGACTTGGTAAAAACTGCTTTTGGAAGAGATTCTGTTTGGGAAATTTGTGGGCCTGAGTTACCAGTCATCTGTTCCTGCCACAATAACTGTCATCATTGCTTCGAAGCAATGTTTGGCTTGGAGCAGTCCCGAATGAGCTGCCTATCACATGTTGACCACAAAATAAGAAGAATAAATAACTGGCACAAACTGATCTGTGGTTGACAGTTGCTTGGTAATACCTACTTGGATGTAAAGAATTTTGGCCAAAATTCATGATTCTGTATTATGAATATTGACACTGCCTTAATAATAGAACTCTGAATAACAATAGATTTATTTGTTT
Source organism: Homo sapiens (assembly GCF_000001405.40). Lineage (NCBI taxonomy): Eukaryota > Metazoa > Chordata > Mammalia > Primates > Hominidae > Homo > Homo sapiens. Next base: position 157,070,607 of record NC_000004.12, read on the forward strand.
TTAAGACATATTCTTGAAATACACTAATAATAACATGTCATTTTCATACAGGAAGGTGTTTTTACTTTTTGCTAAGGACTTAGGATATATGTCTAATTTATCTAAAAAGCTGTGTCATAGCAGTGAATACTTTGACAATGCATTACACTCTTGATATCTGTTTTAAGTCCACACACATCAAGGCACACATGGTTCTTCCCCATGGGGGTAAGCACTGTTGGCAGATTGGTAGATACTAACGTGGGCTACTTAATTGTTCTGGACTGTTTCCTCAATTAAATGAAAGACAGTGTGACACTCAAATTTGTAAATAGAAATATATTATCCACATTTCTTCTCTCTTCTCATATCATCACAATTAGTGTGGTATTTTGGTTGAATAGTATTGTCATTCTGTGTATCATAAGACGTTATTGAATATACAATTTAGAGTCACACAAAAATATTTTAAGGGCCAGCTTCCAGAATCAGACATATTTAGATACATATCTCTCTCAATCACTTACTAGTAAACTGACTTCGGAAAAATTATATGATGCCTGGGGATCTTTATCTGTAAATTGCAACAAGAAAAGTATTAACCTCATAAAGGTATTGAGGAGATAATAAATTCAAAGTACTTTGCTGTCAATCAATGACGATGGTCATTACTATTTTTGCTATTATTAATATGATGAACAGAAAAAATATTAAGTAAAAAATGACTCACATATTAGTTCATCTTTAAGGCCAAAATATTAAGTAAAAAATGACTCACATATTAGTTCATCTTTAAGGCCAATCTGGAATTGGAGGTAAGAACAACCCCTTTGATTTCAATTTTTTAATTTGCATTCAGTATTCTGTACAAAGACATCTACGACTAAAAACTAAGCTTCTTTCACTTGCCTATGTGCAATTGGAGTCAGTCTTAATGTTGTAAAGGACATGAAAGATGAAATAATCCTATCTCTTCCTCTTCCAAGTCTAATATTCCGGATAAGTTAAATTCCCTTTCTGAGCCTCTCCTCTGGTTTCTCATCAAAAATATGGATATGAAAATAACTTGCAAGTAAATTTTGAAGTTTTAAAACCATAATGTAGAAAATTTTTTTGCAATTAATAGGTAATCAATGAAAGATGGCTATTATTGTTTAAAAGTTAGTTTAAAAATAAGAGATTGCAGAACATTTTAAGGATAATGTGCTATTTGAAGAAAACATATGGAAGTGATTTTATCAAATATCAAATAATGTTTTTATTATTCTAATAAGACTGGCTACAAATCAACATTTCCTAATGTAAGTTTTACTGTCTTTCAAGTTTTATGAACAGTGTTTGCAAGATGCTGAATTACTGTCCCACTATTCTCATCATCTTCTGCTGTAATTTTCTCTTTATTTATATTTATTCTCCCATTATCTATTTTGATAAATGTTTAAAGATGATGATTTGGAGGAGAACCATATCTAAAACAGCTGGACATACTTTTATTGAAAATATCTGATCATTATAGTGGTAAATGGACTGAAAGTTTGATGAAAAATTTCATGAATGACTATTACAGTGCAGGCTGTCATTAAAGAGGAAGTATGACTCATGTAGAGAGAATACAGAAAAAAATAATTTATATCTTTAAACCATGTTGTAAGGCTATTTAGGCAATGGCAACAGTGATGAGTACTTATGTCACACACAAAAAATGATTTGGTGAGAATACTCTCTCTGTATCCAAAGTTTGATTTCTTAGTATAACAGAAGATATTTAGGGCTGTATTTAGGTTTTATTATCAAGTCAAATAAAATAAATATATTATAGGCCAGGTGAAGATGGATGCATAGAAAATAGAGTCCTTAGCTACCCAGGAGTCTGAGGTAGGAAGTTTGCTTGAGCATGAGAGGAGGAGGTTGCAGTGAATCAAGATCATGCCACTGTACTCCAACCGGGGCGACAGAGCCAGACCCTGTTTCAAAAAGAAAAAAAAAAAGAAAAAAGAAAGAAAAGAAGGTTAGAAGGTTTTTAGTGTTTAGATGTAGGCCTACAAAATGTTCTCAGTGTAGACGTACAAGAAAGAAATGGATAACAGGGTCCCAGTAAGCAAAAAATGCATGTACCCACAAAAATTAAAAATAATTAAAAAAAAAACAGCCACAACAAAATTCTATCATTCCATTAAGCAAATAAAAACAAGCAAAAATAGGGGAGGTTAATTCTTTGTGACTTTTCTTCTCTGCAGCAGATTTTTAACGTCAATTAACCTGTTTATTTCTTGGTACAATCCTGCAAATTATGCATTGTCATTTTCATTTTACTAATAAAGAAACATGAAATTTGAAGAAATTAATAAATGAGGCCAAGATTTACACATTCATTCAACACTATTCTAGGTGTGTGGGCAACATCAATGGACAAAAATAGATACAAATCTCTGCCTTCATGAAGCCTACATTTTAGCAAGGAAACAGAGGCCACAAACTGTAAGTATATTGTATGATGAGTTGGGAGGTAATAAGTACTATGAAAACAAAAAGAAAAGCAGGCAAAGGGGGATTGGAAATCTTTGGATGGGAGATGGTTTGCACTTTTAAATAACATTGGATAAATCTCTGTGAGACGGTGACATCTGGGTTGATGTTGAAGATATGAGGGAGTCAGTCATGTGGTGGTCTGGGGGGAAAGCATTTTAGACAGAGGAGCCAATAACCTAAGATGGGACCATACCTGGCTTTGGCATGTTGGAGAAGCAGCAAGATCAGCAGGGCTGAAAGAGAGCGAGCCATTAGGAGAGAAGAAGTCAGAGTTAGGGGGAGGAGATGCATAACAATTGAAGGTTTGTAGACCATTGTAAACACTGGTTTATAAAATGGGGACTAACTGCTGGGTGTTGAGTTGAGGAATGACACAATATGACCTATGACATGTTTTAAAGGGATCACTCTGGCTACTGTTTTGAGATTACTCAAGGGTAGGAGAGGACAATGATAGAGGCAGGGTGAGTAGCTAAAGTGCTATTATAGTAATCTAACGTAGAGATGAAAGTCACTGAGTCTAGGTTGGCTGCAGTAAAAATCATAAGAAGTAGCTGAATTCCTGTTGTCATTTGAGAGTAAACAGGATTTCCTCAGAGATTTGGTTGTGAGGTGTGAGAAAAAGAGCGGAATCAAGAACAACTTCATGATTTTTAGCCTGACCAACCCTAAGGATGAGGTTGCCGTGAACTGAGAAGGAGAAGGCTGAATGTGGGGCAGATTTTAGGGAGAACCATAGCTCAGTTTGGGACACACTGAGTTTGACATGTTTATTAAATACGCAAGTTGAAATGTTGAAAAGGCAGTTAGATAGATGAGTCTGGAGTTCTGGAGAGATGTCTAGTCAGGAGAAGTACATATGGGAGCTATCAACATGGTGTTTAAAACCTTGTGACCAGATGAAATTACTAAAGGAGTGAATATTGATAGAAATAAATAGAGAAAAGTAGATCAACACTTGACAGAATTGGGGAAAATAGGTTATTTCATGACATTATTTAGAAGCATCCCTTTTCACACTATGATATAAAAGTTATAGAAATATAGGTAAGCAGATCACTTTCATAGAAAAAAATTTTCAGAATTCTGAACTTGACCATTTTACAGGCTAGAAGAAGTGCTTTTAGGGCATCAACTATATTTCTTAACCTTTGGGCCAAAACCCTACAAACCCATCCAACCTGCTGGACTTGCTTTTCTTCTGAATAACCTAATTCTCCAATATAACATCCATGGATGGCACAGAAACAATACTAGGGAAGGTGAGCAAGTCTGTTGTAGGTATTTTCAGCATAGTTCTTCCAAATGTGGACATTAGAGTTTGTAAATAAAAGATGTTCATTTTATTACAGGAATCGGAATTCCTATTATTCTAAACTCTTAATAATTTCTTGATTAATTGAAAACTAAGTGTAAGGTTTTCGCCAACTTCTAAACTCCCCTGGCTGCATGAAAACTAATTCCTTTATCATTCTTCATATGACCTATTCACCAAAAGTTATATCTTATGAAACGTATATTATCAATATAGTTCTCTCTAATAAAGCATTAAAATCCAAAGTTATATCCTGATCCACTTTGGCGGGGGGGTCTTCAAACAGTACAGCTCTTTGAATAATGATCATTTTGTAATGTAAATAAGGTAATGATCACTTATTAATGATCACTACTCTTAGGCAGCAGAATATCTCATGAAGCTTATGGAACACGGTTATATGCAGGAAATATTCCTTCCCTCCATATGCTGCGGGTGGAAAAATTTATTAGTGGATACATCTGTGGGTCCACAATACAATGCTAAGTGATGCTCACTTGAGACAATGCTTTTTTAATAAAAAAAATCCATCAGGACCTGGTGCAGTGGGGTGGGGTGGCTCAAGCCTGTAAGCCCCCCAGCTTGGGAGGCTAAGGCAGGCGGATGGCTTCAGGCCAGAGTTGGAGACCATCCTGGACAACAAAGCCAGAGATGCTGTCTCTTAAAAAATAATAATAATAATTAGTGGAGCGCAATGGCCTGTCTGTTGTTCCAGCTACTCTACTAGGGAGACCGAGACAAGAGGATCTCTTGATTGCCCAGAAGTTCAAGACTGCGGTGAGCGATGACTGTGCCTCTGCACTCCAGCCTGGGCAACAAAGTGAGCTCCTGTTGCTTAAAAAATAACAATTAAAAAAAATCAATCAGGCATACATTCAAGAGGTAATAGGATAGCCTTATCTGTTATCTAAGGGCTGCATATCCAAGTAAGGGCTACTTCTTCACAAGGATGAGGACAACAGTATTTTGCTCTTATAAGGCAGAGACCCTGTCTGGTTCAGATATGCAAAAATCACTAATTTTGAATCTCTGGTAAATTTCTTTCAAGATCTGTAACTCTAAGTAAATCTCTTAATATAACTGAGTTTCAGATTCTTCATCTACAGAAGGGGATGACAAAACTTGCCCAGGAATGTGGTGAGGGCCACATGAGATAAGGCGAGTGAAAGGTGTTTTGCAACTGTCAAGTTCTGTACACATGTTAATTATGTAACAGATGTTAAACATAGTATTACCTGTATGACTATATTGTCAGTAATTTTGACCAATTTAAGCTTGCTCAGAAAGTTCAGGCTTTTAGAAATTGGAAGACCCGGAGATTAAGCTGGATGTCTGGGTTCCAGGCAAATGGTGAAATGACAGAAAATGTGTTTTGTTCGCTTTGACCCAAGAAGGTCATTTGTTGCTCTGTTGTTTGTTGCTAGTGGTCAAAAGCTGACCCCAAGCAATCCCAGCTCCTTGAAAGGTTTTTTCTTTTTGTACCGACACTATCATTCCCGCCCTTCGTCCCCAACTCCTTTAGTCCCCTAAGGAGTGAGGGGGGTACACATTTCTGCTCGGTAACCCCTCCAATGCCTGAAGGGGACGATGCCGTGACGTTGCTCTGTCGGGACACCTCTTCCCTCCCCCGCCCGCGGTCGCCAGGTTCCCCCGCGGCCCGCGCTGTCCCCGCTGCGGCCCCGACCGCGGCGCGCCACGGCGCAGGCTCCGCGGCCCGAGCAGGCGCGTCAGCCGAGCTCGGCGGTGGCGCGGGCGGCTGGGACGCAGCTGCCCCCGCTCGGCGCCCGCTGCACCCTTAGCAGCCACTGCCACCTGGGCCCGGAGCCTCCACGATCTCGCCCGGCGATTGTGGGCAGGGGCGCCTCCGGGTAAGTGCCAGGAGCTCCACTTAGGAGGAGGGGACGCGGGTTGGGGCGGCGACGGTGGTCTGAGGACGGGAATAGACGCCTTTGCGGAAACAGCGGGTCAAGCCCGGGGCGGCGGAGCGCGAGGAGCACTGCGGCGTGCCCGGGAGGACGCGCGCTGCCCTGCGCGGGAGAGGGGCGCGGGGCGCCTGGCAGCGGCAGCCGGGTCCCCGCTGCGGTGGCGCCCGCGGAGACGCTCCGGGTGGAGAGATGCAGAGGGCCGGGGTAATTAGGAAACGCAAGGTTGGCCAGGAGGGCTCCTTGCGTTGTTTTGTTTATGAGGATCCTCCAGTCAATGCAGCTGTCCCCCTTGAAAGATTGGGGGTGAGGACAGAGCAGAGTGGTGAATTTCTCTGTTTTTCGAAGCGTTAGGGGGGCTCGGCCCTCCTTTTTGCGGGGGCAAGGATGTGAAAGTGGGAGAAGTACCTGCTGCTGTGGGCAAGGTGTCTGGAAGCAGGTGCCGCTGTCGGATGGGGGAAGGGAGCGTCCAATGTTGTGAAGTTGCCAGAGGAGAACCTTGTGTTGTTGCTGTTGGTCTGATGAGCCCCCTCTGTTGTCTTCAATTTAAAGTACCCAGGGAGAAGCCCCTCTGGCTTGCCTGGAGTGTGTGTAAAAGATAAATATGGGGGGAAGAATCCTGGGGGGGGGGGGGGAAGATGAAAAACATGACATAAGGAGAAGCAAATTTCTGAGGGTGAGATGGGAATTAAGTTAGCGTTGAAGAATATGACAGGTCTTTTACTCTGCGGAAAACAATGAAAGAGAAACAATTTATGGTTTGGAAATGAAGGTTGCAGAAGAGTTTGAACTTCTCTAGTGTAGGTAGAGGCTTAATTATTTTTTATTTATCAGAATCTCTGGCAAGAATATGGTTCTGATTTGAGCATGAAAATGTTATTAAAATATGGCTAGGACGATAATTTGAAAAAAATGTAACAACACTTGTTTTATTTCTTGTTGTAGAATTTCTGAAGTAATCTTTTTGATGACAAATGTTAGTAGCAAATAAGTAAGAAAGCTTTAAAGCTAACTTAAGAGGCACCTTTTTGGGGCAAAAAGGTAGCTTGCCAATGTAATGTGTTTAAATAAAAAAAGCAATGAATTTTGAATGTGGAACTCTTTGATATTAACTTTTTCTTTTATCTGTCTTTTTTAATACTTAGAATTTCTTTTTCTTTAAAATACATTATTTTTGAAAAAATATACATAAGAACTTCAAACAATATAAAAATTTAAAAAGAAAAAGATACTTCCAAAGTACTAGCCGAAGATAATCATTTTAACGCTGTGTTAAACCATGCTTCCAGATATCTTTCTGAACATATTTTTGATATACTGTGCAATTCAATATCAATTTATAATTTTGTGTAGCTATAGAATCAGAAATTTTATACAGTAACCTATTATATCTCGTTGGCGGTCTTGTTTTCTATGTGCCATTATTTAAACTGACTTTTACTGCTATATAAAAAAGACTTTACAACTACTATATAAAAAATACTAAATATGTTGTGAAGTATTACCACATAGGACTGAGCAATGAGGATTTGATGTACAAATGTACTTGCCCTTTGGGTAGTAATGCTTATACTCTTTAAAGGGACAGTCATATAGTTATCATTTTCTTCATAAATGTAAACATTTTCTTGTTCTCTCTTGTAGATCGATCTTCTGAAATTCAAGTTTTCAAGATGAAGTTTTTATTGACAACTGCCTTTTTAATTTTAATTTCCTTGTGGGTGGAAGAAGCCTATTCTAAGGAAAAGTCTTCAAAGAAAGGGAAGGGGAAAAAGAAGCAGTATCTATGCCCATCGTATGTTCTTCATGTCTTATATTCTTATATGGAGAAATGTTATTGCGTGTTTTATAAAAGTAAGGTGGTTTATGAAGACACACATCAACAAAACTTTTCATATCGGAATGTATATCCATCTGTTACAGAGACAGAAAATGATAGGGTGAGGAGAGGTTTAGAATGTAAGAATTAATTCCCAATGTTCAAGGTGGTTTTATAGTTTTCTTTTTTTAAATCATGCCATGGGTTTATATAATTTTTATACACTGTTTACAAAAGTAGAAAAAGTCACTATTTTTTTCTTATGCTAAATGTGCTGTGCAACTTTAATTGGATACTGATATACTGTGTTTTGAGCAAATACCAGTTCAAAAAGTTTTTTTTTAAAAAAACCCTAAAATATTTAATAATATTTTATTTAAAAGTCAGATAGGTAACTGTGATCTTAAGGTCAGTTCATATGTATGCATGGCAAAAGGAAATTCATATGATAGATCAATTTTCTAATTTAGTAATTGTAAATAGGTTATATTAGGAGATTAGGATATTTTGTAGAAAGCAGGTCATTAAATTTGAAATTACTTGAAAACACAAATTCTAAATCCAACACATCCCCCACAAAAGACAAAGTTTTGTGGTGTGGAGTCTTGTTTATTTTTTTTAGATGAAGTCTCTTTCTGTCACCCAGGCTGGAGTGCAGTGGCACAATTATCTACTCACTGCAACCTCTACCTCCCGGGTTCAAGCAATTCTCCTGCCTCAGCCTCCCAAGTAGCTGGGATTACAGGTGCCCACCACCACGCCCAGCTAATTTTTGTATTTTTTAGTAGAGACAGGATTTCACCATGTTGACCTGTCTGGTCTCCAACTCCTGACCCTGGGTGATCTGCTCGCCTTGGCATCCCAAAGTGCTGGGATTACAGGCGTGGTTCACCGCACCTGGCCAAGTCTTTTTTTTAATAGGAAAGATTAACATTACTGGTCAATGAAAGTAAAATAGAGCAATTGTACAGTATATAAGTAAACAACTTTCTCAAAATATAACGTGCTTTTAGGTAATAATGCAATATATGCAGTGATTTGGAATAAAAGTTAATTTTCTATTACAGGTCATCTTCAATTAATATTTCTCAAATGTAATATTGATCATAGATAACATTTTATTCCAGCATCATTATTATTTAAATAGAGATTATTATGGTTTTACAGATGTTCCATAAGAGATGAGGTACATTTTGGGAAGTATATTTTGTAAAGAAAGGACACTAGAATTGGTATTTTGTAATAGGTGTTTGTATGAATTTGTGAGAGTAAAATTCTGGAGAGAGTATCATGATCCACGTAATGTCTAGCATTAAATTCAGCTCCATGTGAAGGGATATTTCCTGATTTTCACCCTTAATAGTCCTGCTTATTCTAGTGCTGCAGCATATTCTGATGTCAGGGCCAAATTTCTGGGTATATGACACAATGGCCCTGAATTATGTTTGTGTGTCCCTCCTTGGCCATCTGCCCAGCTGGATATCAGCTGGGAACAATGGAGGCAGGTTCAGGAATAACCACAATCTACAACCATCTCAACTCTTCACTGTTACTGTTTTTGTGCCACAAGCTGGAGATTAGCATTTTAGGGAACTGGACATTGTCAGGCCTTAGTATTCCTAAGCGAAAGGACACTTCTTTGTGTTTTAGATATTCTTTCTATTACCTTTTCTTTGATGAATGTTGGGACATTAACACAAACTGTTGTCTATGTCATATAGTCACCGTAATTCTATGTATGGAATCAAGCCATCTTGGGTTTCTGTATCTGAGCAAGCTGATAAGGCTCCTGTTCTCCCAGTACACCCACCCCCCATCCTACATCAAATGTCATAATCAAATTATTCTGAAGATGGCAACAGCAAATCTTATAACTACCATATATATTACGAGAGTATTTTAGAGGACATTCTCTTTTCACAACTACATTATTAAATAGCCTTATGTGTAGACTGTATATACTTACGGTGTGTATAGTTATTTAAGACAGATTTTCAAAGTTAAATTTAGTAGATAAAGAGTATAACAATAAGAGTTCTCTTCTGATGAATATGACATCTTCAAGTGGAAGACCCAACATATACCTGTTAAGCCCACATCTCAATATTTTAGATATGTTGAGTAATTAATTGAAATTTTATCTTTGAATTTTTACATTATAGGTTTTTTAAAAATAATTATGAGACTAGATCAAGCTTTATTAACAGTTGTGATGTGATGCTGCTGGAAGTCTGGCTTGTTAAAAAGTGGATGTACCTTGGAGAGTTAGAGTTGTATATTTTTCATTTGAGCATTTTATTAAGAATTCTGATTGTCACTGAATTAAGAACTTTAGAAGACTAGGGTTGTCCCTGACTGTGATTGGATCTATCATATCAAATTTATTTCAGATGCCTTGATTAAGAATTTGAGCTATAATAAGGGGCTGTGAAAGAATATGCAAATTGTATGTATCTCAGAGAATGATCCAGTTTGCTTAGCCTGTGTAAGTTGCTTATTTATTAAACATCTTGACTAAGAGGAATATTGAAAATTACAAAACCCAGAAATCAAGTACAGACTACCCTAATACTCCTCAGGATGGTAAAATTCTTGCCCAGTGATGTTTTCATTTGTTTATACTTTTTTTTTTTTGAGTAGAGTGGATGAAGCAATGTGGGTGCATAGACATAAGCAGTTCATGTGCAGCAATCCAGAGTGAAATCTTCCAGTTTTACTGTTATAACAACATTTCCCCTCAAGACTGTAAATAGAGGAAACATGTTTTAAAATGTAGGAGAAATAAAGGACTTGAGTTCCTTGATATTCTAGGATTTAATATTGATGCTGAGCTTGAGTCAGATCATAAACTTTTCTTGGCCTCTTTGCTGTTTCTTTTTTCTAACCTGTTGTCTTTTGATATGTAAGTGAAGCACTAGTACCAGATTGACAAAGTATCTGATAAATTTGCTTCCAAAAACTTAGAAATTTAATATGTGTTAACAAATAAGAAATACACTTTAAATTAATAAAAATATTTTAGGTAAGTCCTTGGACAGTTACCTTTTTATTTTACAGCTTACATTTGACATTGCCTTTAATCTTTTGGTCTTTCCTCTGATTTTTCATTCTACCTGAGTGATTTTGTAGAAATCCATGGTTGTAGTTACCATCTACTCACTGTTAACTCCTAAGTCTTTATGTACAGCTCAGATCTCTCTAAAGAGTGCCACACCCATACATCCACCATTTCAACTTGACCGTCCCGTCATGAAACTCAAATTTAACTTGAAATGATAAAACCTGAACTCAGAATCATGTGAATAATACAATGAATAATCACTGTATTAAGAGTGGTGAACTCCTCTTCTCACCAGATGACACCATTTCCACCTTTTCATTCATACTACAATCCTGGGGATCACCTTAGACCATCTCTTTCTACCTTAGCTTCTCAAATTCAGTAGTCACCAGAACTCATCAATTACTATCACTGGAATACGTCTTACGTTTTCATTCCCATGTGGGACATTGCCTTAGCTACTCCTTCCCACCCTCTTCATTGACTCCTTTTCAGTTTTCCTGCATCTTATCCTCCTCCATTAATTTATATGCCACATTGACCTTACCGTGTATTTTCCCAATAGTGTCTTGAGTCCAGTCAGGTCATGTCAATATTGAGAACACTTTAAAGGACACCATAGTGTTCTGGATAAGGTGGAAATTTCTTGGCTCCACACACAAGGTTCCTGATGAACTAGCCTCTGATACCTCCAGCAGTATCTTCCCCATCCCGACCCCTGCCTCTGCCTAAGCCTCACACGCATCAACTCTCATATACCCGTGCTCTTTCACATCTCTGCAAGTGTTCTTCCCTTTCCCTGAAATGCCAATGTTTTTCTTCTTTTTAGTTAGCCTGTGTCCATGGGTCTCATCCAAATTCATGGCTGTAACTACCACTTACTGTTGATTTCTATGTCTGTGTATACAGCCCGTACCTCTTTGAAGAGCACCACACCCATACATCCAACATTTTAATCTGATTGTTTCATAATGACCTCAAACTTAACTCAGACTCAAACCCTATTGTCTTCTTTGGGAAACCTTTCCTAATCCTGAGGATTTAGATAATCACATTCTGTGCCCCCACAGTTCCCCAATTGCCACTCATACATAATACAGTATGATAATTATCTATTGTAATTGTCTGCTTTCCCCACTAGATTGTAAGCTCCATGAGAGCAGTGTCTTCATTACCTTAATCACCAGCAAGCAACATAGCTCCTGGCACAAAATATACATATAATAAAAATTTATTTAATGAAGTGAATAAAAACCTAAAGATCTTTGACTATCTCTTATTAAGTCATTACATCTGGATTTTGTTAAGTTACCTGAAATTGACTGATATGATCCCTGTGGAAAATTTAGAAATATGGTCTCAATATAAGGATACCTAGGTGAGTTAGCAGCTAGGTAATTAGTGGAATACCTTCACCCTGGATTATGTTACCTGGTTCCGTTTTGGCCTCATCATAGTCAATTATTTGTCAATGACTGAAATAAAACTACACAGAGAAAAAATCCACACTGAGGCTCTGTGATATTCAGATATGTAGTGAATATGTGAGACAGAATTAGGATCCGATCTGATCTTGAAGGGCTAAATGAGATAGGTCTAACACTGTTGAAGAATAAATTGCACTTTGGTCTAGAAGCCACTTGGGTAAGTATAGGATGAGGAAGAACATAGCTTAGCAGAGCACATTTGGGAAAAATATTACATAATAATTATCAGACAAATGAATAGTGTTTTATATATATATATATATATATATATACACACATACTTACAATTTAGTATTTTAAGAAAGACATTCTTAAAATTAACACATTCTTAACATAAAATTAGTAAAATAAGAACTATTTTAATAGTAAAACTATTTTGCTAATTTTATGTTAAGCGTATTACTTTTTAGAACTATTTAAAGCAAGGTTTACAGAGATTTCTGCTCTGTGCTAGTGCAGAAATATTTGCAGGAGAGAGAAATAAGAATAGTAGAAGTAATTAAAATCATATCATATTAGGAAGAGCTGAAGGAACTGAGATACTTGAAAATTGTCTCCAAAGTTTTAAAAAACTGTGATGGTGATGAGAAAGTAGACTTTGTTGCTTGGCACCAATAATTAAAAGCAGTACTAATGTATAGAAGCTACGGGGAGGGATATTTTTGGCTCCAAGTTAAGAACTTTTTTGAGTTCTGCCTAGATGTAATTGATTAGGGAGGGAGGTAGTGAAGTTCATGATAAGTGGAGGTACGCAGGCACGTGGGATAATTACTTGGTGGGCATATTTTAGAGAAAGGTTGAGCATTACACAGGCGGTTAGACCAGAGACTGATATAATGTGATTTCAACTTGTGCAATTTTTAAGATTCAGTGGTTCTAATACATTGTGTTTGATTACAGCTTTATCATTATCTAATAGCAAAGTAACCCACAGAGAATTATGTTTTAAAAATTTTATCTTGATCTGTTTATTTAAGTATGTCTTTATTTTAGGGGAATTGACTTAGAAAGCTCTAGTACATAAGATAAATGTATGTTGGTGGTGTGTTAATAATAAGGATTTTAAAATCTTATTTTTAAGGTTTGAAATTTCATGAATAATGTTTTTTAAAACACTTCTTTCAAACCCAGAAAAACTTTTCTCTTTTCTGACCTTAGGTGTAATAGTAAGAAGAAATATGTCAAGCTACTATAATTTTCAAGAAATAATGATCAGGATAACAAATGAACAGGATAACAAATATAATGATCTAATAAATGCCTGCCATAATTTATAAGGCATAGTTTTATGGATTTATATTTGTAGGTACATCATATATGAAACTAGAACATCCTAAAATAAACTTTCAGATTTTTTTATTGAATAACAGTAATTAAAAAACCAGAACTCCCTCAATTAAAAATAAAACTGAATATTGTTTGCCATTTCTATTTTTGCTCATAGCCGACATAATAAGCACTTTTTAATAGTGAATTTGGCCAAGCTATACAACTCCTTGTCACATACTACATATTTTTGCCACTACCGTTAGAGAAACTTCTATCTTTTGTTGAAGACTGTTTGAGTTTCAAACATTTAATAGCTTACAGTAAGTGAAACTAATATGTTTGAAAGTTGCATTGGAAATCTCACCTCTTTTCTCCCATTTTGGCCCATACTTGTATCTTAGGTCTGGGAAGCTTAATAACAAGTCCTTAAGTGTTGAGGGCTGCTATTATTTACAGTAGTGTTAGCATTTATTATCCTACCTTCTAAATTATCTTTCCTTCAAGCTGTTGGAACTCTAGCTTTAAAATAATTACATAAATAACTTTTAATTTTTATTCTCGTTCTGTGTGTGTGTTGAGAAAATGTGATTTCTTTGTTAGTTTTTTCATAAACTAAAAATTGTGTGTGCATATGTAAATGGTTTGATGCCGTTATGATTTTTTTTGTCTCCTTCAGAGAGAGATTGTACCATTGAATGACAGCATTTTCATACTTCAGTCTGTATGTACTAAGAAGGGTAGGTTACTGTTGATTATTCATTGATTATTCAATGCCACTATATGCTGCTTGGGTATTATATTAGCCATCTTCCTATTCTGACTGTTTTGTCTCCTTTATCTTCTATTCATTAAGAGATGAAATAGATTTTAGTATAATTCCAGTTTCTTACTTCCTAGTGGAAATATTCGAGACAAAGACATTGGCCAAAAGATGAAAGGCTGATTGGAAAAGGATATGGATAATCTATAAAATGGATACTATTGAAAATTGCCTGTTATCACTGTTACATATCTAGATTGAATTTTTCACTGATGTTTAGTTATGTATTTTCTTATTACTTATTGAACAATTTTAATGGCATGCTGTTATTTTGCAATCAATTGAATTGATCTTCTTTTTCCAAAAGGAAATCAGCATCCTTATTATTCCAGTTACCTAGGCATGAGCTTAAATGGAACCTAACATTCTCTTAAAATGATCTCCTATATCTGCCATGTTCAATTTTTTTTTCACTACATCTGCTCTTACCATTATTTTATTTTCCTCTTTGGAGACAGGATCTAATTCTGTCATCCAGGCTGGAGTGTGGTGTTGTGATCATAGCTAACTGCCGCCTCCAACTCTTGGCCTCCAGCAATCCTCCTGCCTTGGCCTCCTAAAGTACAGAGATTCCAGGCATGAGCCACCATGCCCAGCCACCATTATTTTTAACGTATGTGTTACTATATCTTCCTAGTTATTCACCCTAGCTTTTCTATCATTATTATCCATCTTAACATGCCATCTGTATTTTCATCTTTTTTTTGGAGATGGAATCTCACTCTGTTAGCCAGGCTGGAGTGCAATGGCATGATCTCGCCTCACTGCAACCTCCGCCTCCTGGGTTCAAGTGATTCTCCTGCCTCAGCCTCCCGAGTAGCTGGGACTACAGGTGCGTGCCACCACACCCTGCCAATTTTTTTGTGTTTTCAGTAGAGATGGGGTTTCACTGTGTTAGCCAGGATGGTCTCGATCTCCTGACCTCGTGATCCACCCACCTCGGCCTCCCAAAGTGTTGGAATTACAGGCGTGAGCCACCGTGCCTGGCCTGTATTTTCATGTTGTTATTCTTATGTTTAAAAACTTACAATATCGTACTACCAGATGGTTCTTGAACTCCAGTACATACTTCTTACCTTGATTTTCAAGGGGCTCCCTAACTTATATTTCTAAATTTATGTGAAACAACTCTCTTATATTATGTGTGTAGGTATGTATATATGAATGTATGTTTTTAGAGACAGGATCTTACTCTGTTGCCCAGGCTGGAGTTCAGTGGTGTGATCATAGCTCATTGCAACCTCAAACTCCTGGTGTCAAGTGGTCCTCCCGCCTTGTTCTCCCAAAGACTTCGCGTTACAGGTATCAGCCATACCCAAGCCTACTCGCCTATTTTGGGAAGGCTTATCTGCCGTTGTTCCTAATCTTCCCTTGCTATTATGTATGCTTGGACATGTTTATGTTTGGAATGACAACTTCTTGCTTAATATATCTAGGCTTTACTAGTCCCTCAGAGCTCATCTTAGATATTACTTTGCTTTATAAAACATTTAAAATAAGTTTTAGTTGAGAATATGATTAATCTGAATTAATAGTGGTGTGGCTTACTAATGCTTTGATGTCTTGGATATTGATAGAAATACAATGTTTAGAAATAAAAAAGTATTAATCTCATGGTGAGTATATTACCTGAAGCATTATGTTGAATTCTGGTTGCCATAATTTATGAGAGTTAGAATTACATGTGAGTTTGTTTGGAGAATCTTGATCGGTATTTACACGAATGTGAAAGTCTGTTGTGTTGTTCGATTAATTCTATTGTGCATTATTTTCTCTGAAGAATAGAAATTACCTTCTATTTGAGATGTTGTCATATAAAATAACTAGACTTTCTTTGTATGACTCCAAGTTATCGAATTAAGACCAAAGAGAGAAACAGAGGAAGATAAGTTCAATTAAAGGAAAATATAGAACTGTCAAAAGAGAAAATGGGTTTCCTTAGGAGCTTCTTTGTTGCTGGAGTGACTGAACATAGCTTGGGTAGGGACACGACCCAAATAACATCAATGGGAAGTTAAAAGTATTTAGAACTTCTTTTTATGCCCAAGATCTCATGGGCCTATGATTAAAACTGAAATTAAACTCCCTGTTCTTGATATTTCAGAATCCCTTTTGTGCATACTTGATGTTTTGACACTTGATTAGAATTAGTTCTTTATGCAGTGATGTCTTTTATTTTCTAGTTGGACTCTATTGTGTAGTTTTAACTCTCTAACTACATTTTAAGTACTTGAGATGAAATGGTTATATATACTTTTATATCCTGCCCTACTTCAAAATTGTTTGCATAAGAGCTCCATTTATGCTTGCTAGTTCAAAGAAAATTAAATGGATAGCTGATGATATAGACAAATCCTAAATTAATTTTTTGATGGGATAGTGGTTCACTGGGACTGTATTTAGATGTTTAGAGATAAAACATATATTGTTTAAAATTTACTTTGTACGTCTACTAAATCATGATGGCAAAGACCTTGTATAATAAGATAGCAGAAAGAACACCACTGTATCTCCTTTAGCACTTTTGCTAATTGGCTGTATAACTTTCAATAAGTCACTTAATCTATCTGAGTCTCAGTTTTCTCATTTGTATAGTGAAAAGTTTGATCTCAATAATCTCCTAATTTTATTCATTCATTAATTTATGGCAGCCATATCTTTTATGATACAATGCGGTTTTGTTTACGATTGCTTTGGTAACTTTATAATCAGGGTTAACTATTTTAGTGTTTTGTTGGTGCTTTTTGTTCCCCAATTTTTAACCATTCAAGCCTGACCAGTGGAAAAAGAATACACAAAATTCTATTTCTTGGGGAAGTTAACTCCAAAGGAAATCTAATTCCAGAGTTGATTTATCAAAACATAGGTATTTAACTGAACTCCAAAGTAGAAGAGTAAGGTATGAGGAAGGTGAATTGTCTGCATTCTTAGCCTACCAAATTTTCACAGATTAAGGAATTCGACTTACTGAAATGTATCCTTTTTTTTTTCTTGTGGAGGCAAATAATTTCTGTAATACAGTAAAAAAAGGTATATTTGCAAAAGTCTCCTATATTTTCCTTATGCTTCTACCTGAAATAGACATATCATTGCTCTGCTAAAGAGAGCTGAGGTCCCTTTATAAATGAATTCCTTTACCATGGGTATTTTATGGAAGTTTACACTTAGAATTCATGAAGCCAATTATTCAAATTTATGTACATACAAATGGTTCCTCTGAGAAATGATGTAAATATGAAATAATATTTTTAGGGCTCTGATTGGAATAACAGTGAAGCACTTATTAAATTGCTAATAAAATATGTTGGATACCTTGAAACATCTGACATTTATTACTCTTCGTATAAGAAAACAATAGTAGGAGTTTACTGCTCCTGGGCTGATTGCTGAGAATAACCTAATACAAAAGGCTTACCTATTAATGAGTGGATGTGTGGTGTTCTTTATATCATGTTTAACTCTCAGTGATACCATGGGCATGGCTGACAAAATAATCTAAAGGTCTTATTGCAACATTCTTTAATATTCTCTATACATTCTACTTGTATGTGTCTGGAATCTCTATAATATTTTCGACTTAATGGTACAAATGTAGATGTTTTCAGTGATCTAGAATCTTGGTTGATTTATTTTGATCTAGTCTTGGCTAAGTCTTCATTTTGGTTCCAAATTCTTTTCCTTACCCCTCAGAGGCTCTAAATTTCTCTCTCCACATTGTTTCTGTCTTTTATCTTGTTCCTTTCAGTGTTAGCATAACATTTTAACTTTTATTTTAAAGGAAAAGAATACAAGTCCTTGGATGGGAATCCCCTCGGTCTTTCTTGATTTTCATTCTAAAGCTACCTGAGGCATCATCCTTCCTTTTCTCCTTTTCTCTTGATTTAGCAAAAAAAGAACTTTTTTAGGATCCCATCTCCCCACTGTCTTCTGAGATGTACCTTTTAGCTTACTTTGCTCCCCTATGTTTTAAATTTTCTTCGTTTCTTTGGCTCTTTTTTTCCTAAGTGCTTACAAACATATTAAAGGGTCACCCACCTGGAAAAATGTATATAGTTTTTATATTCCTATTTTATTAACTGTGGTTTTCCCCTTTGTTAATTACTATGTTTCTTCAACTAGTAGGATAAAATGGCCTATACTTTTTGAGCTCTAATTCACTAGTTCTTTTCTTCACTTACCTTGAATTTCCTTAAATTACAAAAGATGTGCAACATTATTACAACAAATGAAACAATATGTACCACTTAATCATTCTATTAAGACTGACTCCTGACACAATTCTACTTTTAATAAAGATTTCGGCTGGGTGCCATGGCTCACCCTTGTAATCTCAATACTTCAGGAAGCCAAAGTGGGAGGATCACTTGAGCCCAGGAGTTCGGGACAAGCATGGGCAACATAGTGAGACCTTGTCTCTACAAAACATTAAAAAAAAATTAGCCAAGCATGGGGGAGGGGGGACACACCTGTAATCCCAGCTGCTTGGGAGGCTGAGGTGGGAGAATCACCTGAGTCCAGGAGGACAAGGTTGCAGTGAGCCATTATTGCGATCATGCTACTGCACTCCAGCCTGGGCGACAGAGGGAGACCCTGTTTCAAAGAAATAAGTAAATGAAGATACGAATTTTATTATTTTAAAACAAATATAGTGACTTTATTTTAGGTCCTTGTTATTACTCAGTAAGGGCTAGCTATCTTCTGTAAACGGAAACAATCTCCGATTTCACCCATCCCACATGTGGCTTCCTGAAATTTACTCACTCCTGGCTCTTTTTAGCCACCTCTCTGACTACAGCTGATTAACCACCTTCATTGGCTATTTCTTATTGTCCTTCCTGACATATTGAGTTTTCCAGATATTCATCCTTAGTTCTTTTAGCTTCTTGCTTATCAATTTTCCCCTGGGTAATATCTATTGGTATCTATGATTGCTTCTATATCTTTATCTCTATATGTAACTTCACTCTTGATTTCCAAGTAATTATTTTCAGCTTCCTACTGGACCTCAAAATTAACATACCCAACATATTAAACTGGCTTTCCTATCTGTATTCCCCAGCTCTACACCCAGCCTTTCATGAGAAATGACAAAAGCATCTTCAAATCCTTCATGCCCTTTCACTTTCATCATCTCATCAATTACTCATTCTGTTGATGGTTTAGAAATGATTATTGCATCTAGCTACTTCTCCTCATCTCTGCTTTTATGGTCTCTGTCAGGCCATAGTCATGTCACCTTGAATCTGTTATTGCAGTACTTTCCTAGATTCCTGAACCTGATCCTGTCCTCTCTACTTTGCTCATCCTCTACAACAGTGGATCTCAAATTGTTGGTCTAAGGTCCCCTCTACAACCTAGAGCATGTTTAGGGACACAAAGAGCTTTAGTTTATGTGGCTTATACTATTGAAATTACCTTATTACAAATTGAAACAGAAATTTAAAAGATTAAATCACTTAAAATAACTGTACGGATATTAACATGAATAACTTATTTTTATGAAAACTACATTTTCAAAAAGAAAAAAATTAATGAAAAGTGGGGCATTGTTTAACGGTAGCAAATCAGTTTAATGGCTGGTTTAATGGAAGACAGCAGGATTCTCTTATCTGCTTCTGCATTCAGTTTGTTGTGATATATTGTTTTGGTTGAAGTACGTGAAGACATTATGACTTCATGCAGACATAAAATTGAAAAAGGGAAGAGTATTTTAATGGCCTTGTAACTGTGAAGATTCTTCTTTAATGTCATGCCAAAATTTAACCAGTGCTAGTTTCTTACAAGAGAGGTGCAATGTGAAATCTGAAATCAGATCATTGAACATTTTGTCCTCTGTTGCAGTAAAATCAACTAGTCTGTCTTGCACTTTGAGTGGTTCTTTTGTCCAATTGTGATTGATTTTATAACATCATTTGGAAAATACTGATTCTCTGGGTTTTGCATTTTTTCCAAATGTTGACATATTTTATTATACAACATCAAAAAAATCATATCTATCTAATATCACTTATGATCTCATTGGAATGTCTGTGAGTGTTGGAAAGCTGTCAAACTCATGGTGGCTAATATTAATTTTAAGATTCCAATTTTTGTTTGGAAGTTCATATTTTATCACTGGCAACAAATAGAGTAGTGTTTCTCAAAGTTACAGGTTCTCTTCATTCACTTTTGAAAAATATTTTCCTAAATATTCAAATCTGAATTACCACAGTTTTTCTATGGTGTTGCATGAAAATGGCTTTTCATGGAACTATTAATAGATAGTTCAATCTATCTATTAAATCTATTAAGTTCAGTCTGTCTAGTAAGTCAAACAATCACTCTATCTCTACATATAACTACACTTGTAATTTTCAGGTAATGTTTTTGAAACGATTATAATAGTTTGGCGTGCAGCACAATGATTTATGGGTACTCTCCATTTTGTCATACAACATTAAAAAGATGTTAAGTTTCAACATTTAATAAAATTAATATTTTTTATTAATTCTTAAGGAACATTGCTTAGGAAACTGTCTTTTAAAATTCTTGTTTTTTCTTTCTGCTACTATATGATGTTGAAGAATGCAATGGCTGTGAGTACATTTAAGTATTATTTTCTTGATTTGTGCTAAAACACCAACAGTTTTTCCCACCATTGCTTTGGTACCATCAGTGCAAATGTCAACATAGTGGAAAAAAGTAAATAACATTTTATTATTACTATGATAAAAATAGTTTTGACTCTGTGGACAGTAACAGAATGTGTAACACTGGGTAACACTCCTCAAAGTGTTGTCCACAGACCCCCTGCAAGTGTTTTGGGTACCTTCAGGAGCCTGTGGCTGTGGACCACACTTTGAGGGCTGTTACTCTATAGTGTCAACGTGAGTGATGCTCAGTGTATATCCAATCACTTACTTCGTTGCTTGTGACCCACCTTTTCTCTTTTCAATTCTGCTCTGCACTTCCAGTATCTTCTCCTGCCATGCTGCACTTCTTGGTGTTCCTGGGCAGCCTGATCTCTTCGTGACACTATTCTGTTGTCTATTCTTTAACTTCTTCCTAGGGTTTGTCCTGTCCTTTCCCCCTTAATCTGTTACATCCCTCCTTATCCTTCTAGTCCCAGCTAAGTCAACTACTCTATGAACTCCCTGCCATTAACACTATACAAAATCAAATGCTACAAAAAATCAATGATGATAAATTTAAGGTGAAATTGGTTGAATTAATATGGAGGAGAAAATATTGGACTGAAAATTCAGGAGATTTGTGTTCTAGCTGACTGTTACTGACCAATAGTGCATCCTCAGATAATTCTTTTTGGGATAAGTGTCCTGATCTTTAAGATAAAATCATTAACAATGTGATTTCTTAGGGTAATTGAGATAAAAGTTTATTCTGGGGTTTTTAATAGATGGAAATGGTATTTTTGAGTAAAAAGAGATAGGTTCTACTTTAGAATAGATCACTTAATACATTTGTGACCTAGAATAAGCAATCAGTTTGCTTCTCTAAGACTTTATCTGTAAAACAGAAATAAGAATCTGTACCTATTCACACAGCTTCTCTGATAGTATAATTTGGAATTATATGTAAAATTATTTTCTAACTGTAATATTCTACAAGTTGGATTACCTATGTTTGTGATAGTAGAACCTCTTTAAAGAGTTCAAAGTGGTTTTGCATGTTTACTATTACTCTTGGTCTCGTTTTTATTTTTTTGACCATTAGTTAAGCTAATAGTTAAATATAGAACACCTAATTATGGGGAAAATATCTGGGTCACCTTATTACACATAGCTTTCCTCATAAACTCAGAGTGTTAGGTCTGGGATAGGTAAAACATCTGTGGCATGACTTCTTTATGTGAGAGTTAGTGCCAGATGCTTGTCACATGGGAGGCCATCGACTTTTCACAATGAATCTGTACTGCAAGCAGCATCATTCAGCGTTCATATATAAAGAACGTAGGATGTGGAGAGTGTTTGTATAGCTTTCTTAAGGTCATAAAGTCAGTCAGTAGTAGTCAGGTGGTTGTTTGAAGCTAACTCTTTAGTTGTACTGTACCTATCAGAGTCCTCCTTGTTTATTTGGAAGTCTCGAAAACAGTAGTCACAAAAGGTAGTAAAATGGCTTTCCTAATGGCCTACCGCTAGCTAGTGGCAGATTTGGCAGTTAAACTTCGGTCTTCTGCTTCCCATTCCAAGTTTTTTCATTAATGTTCTTGCCACTATATTTATGTTTAGTCATTACCCTCTCCAGTGGGAACACATTTTTCTTCTTGATTGTCACTTAGCCTTTGAATATCTTTGCCATTTTCAAGCAACATATTGGGTTTACTTATGGTCTTTTACATACATTTAAAGTTTATTAAAGTTCTTTCTAAATAATAGAATGCTACTTTCTGAGCACACAATCTGACAATCTTCCCTTTCATAGATGTGTGTTCCACCACCTAAAAACTAGTCCTTAGTTTGATTAATAGTATATAATTTGGATGTTAGCTGTCAATGGACATTTTGTAAATAAGAAACCATTCCTAAGCTACTGTAGTCAGGAGACAATATATGATTTATTTCCTTTCCATGCTGTATGTATGCATATGTATTCATCTAATAAGATCACAAACACTTGGCTAAAAAGAAGCGAAGTATAAAATATATAGTTCTGGCCAGGCGCAGTGACTCACACCTGTAATCCCAGCACTTTGGGAGGCTGAGGTGGGCTGATCACGAGATCAAGAGATCACGAGGTCAAGAGATCGAGACCATCCTGGCCAACATGCTGAAACCCTGTCTCTACTAAAAATACAAAAATCAGCTAGGCGTGGTGGCACATGCCTTTAGTCCCAGCTACTTGGGAGGCTGAGGCAGAAGAATCGCTTGAACCCGGGAGGCGGAGGTTGCAGTGAGCTGAGATCGTGCCACTGCACTCCAGGCTGGGCGACAGAGCGAGACTCCATCTCAAAAAAAAAAAAAAAAAAAAAAAATACATGGTTCCCCTTGGCTCTGCTTTCAAGGGATAAAAAGCAATAGAGTAGTTCTTCAGAGAGAGAAAAGTGAGTTATCTTTTAAACCACCGTGAAAAATTTAGATACAGGCATTTACTTTCTCATATAGAATATTACATAGAGACTTAGTTTTAACTGATCAAAGATTATAATATCATATTTTAATTGCTTTATGCAATCTCTCTCTGTCTTTCTGCCTCAATCTGTCTATGCATGTGTTTGCTCTCTGTATATGTGACACACAAATAATTAAGCACAAGTTTTTTTGGGCATTTATTTTTAAACCTTTTTGAAGTATGTATAATATGCATATAGAAAAGTGCACCAATCATAAGCTTTAATAAATGTTCACCTTGGTAACCAGCACACGGATCTAGAAACAGAACATGTCCAAAACATTAGACATCACTTTCTTTCCAAATTACTCATTGCCAACTCCAGTGATTACCATTCAGTAAATTAATTTTGCCTAGTTTCAAACTGCATGTAAGTAGAATAATCCAGTATATATCTTTTGTAACTGCTTCTTTTGCTCACTAACTCTGTAAGATTCATTCACAGTGTTATATGTAACATCAGTTCATTCATTGTCTTGCTGCCTAGTATTCCATTATATGAATCACTGCAGTTTATTTTTCTGTTTTGCTCTTCATAAACATTTGGGTTGTTTCCAAATACACCTATACACACATACCAATAAAAAGTTGTTGAGAATATACAAATAACTTTTAGGCATTATTAAGAAAAAAGCAGACAACCTAATTGAAAAGAGAGTAGCCTAAAGGCCAAAAGAGGGTAGCCTAAAGGCCAACAAAAATTTGTAAAAGTGGTCAACTTCATTTGTCATCAAGGGAGTGCAGATTAAAATCATGATGGTATACCAATACACACCCACCAGAATGGCTAAATGAAAGAAGAAGAGAATGTGAAGAACCACAATGCTCAAATCCTGTTAGTGAAAGTTCAAAATGGCATAAGCATTTGGTAAACCATTTGTAAGCATCCGCTAAAACTGAAAATCCATATACTCTATGAACCAGCCATTCTATTTCTAGTGTATACAGTACTCAACAGAAATGTGTACATGTTTACCAAAAAAATACGTACAAGAATGTTTACAGAAGCACTATCTGTAATTATAAAATATATTTATTTTGTCACACTTAGAAGTGCTTTATTGATTCAAAAGAGTCAAAAATTTTCACACTAAAATAATATTCAGCACCACATAGATTGGAGAACTAGAACTTTGGTCGTGCTGATCTACATTGAGTTGGCTACAGGAAGGCCATGGAGATTTATAGAGGAGTAGTATTTCAGGGAAACAGGTGTCAAATACAAAATTTCTATGGCAGGCTTTATGTGTTCAAACCACAGCACGTAGACTAGGAAGAGGGTGAACTATGGAAAGAGTGATAGATATGAGGTCAGAAAGGTTGTAATGGCTGAATAATATGTGCCTTGGTAGGTCATCATAAGAGTGATTCCCACGTTTTGTGCCTGAGCAAAAAAAAAAAAAAAAGGTTTTTATTTACTGAGATATCTGTTAAAAACTACAGGAAGAGTAGATAGGAAATGAGGGGAAAACAAGAGTTTAGTTCTGGATGTGTTAAGTTTGAGGTATCCATTAGACATCAGGAGAAAATATCCAATAAGCTGTTGAACATAGAGTCAGAAATTCCAGGGAATAGTCTAGGCTGGAGGTATACATTTAAAGAGTTGTAAATTATGAAACTAGATGAGGTCACTTAAAAAGTGACTTAGCTAGAAAAGTAAAGATATCTGAGAAGTGACTGGGAATGAGGTTGAAGAAATGGAAGAACAGGTGAAGGAGAATGAGGACATGGTGAAACCCTATCTCTACAAAAACTTTTTTTAAAAAGACATAAAGCTAGGATCATGTCTGTCTCTTGCATATTGAGGGCTCTCTGTGGACTGATATGAACTCATACTGGAGAAGTAAAAGCCGGCTGTGACTGTAGGGTAGAGCAAATAGATCAGATCAGAGAGGGCTGCCTTGGAATGGGAGTGGTTTCTGTCTGAGGAGGAAAAGTCATGCTCGAATATTTACTGTGCCTCAGATGTGGTCACACAAGAGACCACCAGACAGCATGAGGGCAAGGACAAGTGGAAGCACTGGCTTGGAGCTCACAACATAGGAACTTTGCCTAAAAGGGCCTAAGTGGGTAGTGGAAGCCCACAGTGTGGACTGCAGAATGTCTGGGGCTGATGGCTGGAATTGGGAGTGGCCAGTTGGAGAAAAGTCACAGTCCTTTCCTGGGAATTGAAATTAGAGGAGCTCAAAGAGGGGATTTTGAGAAAACCACAAGGATATTATAAGCTAGCCAGGCAGGGGAACAGTGCAAAAGCCAATCACACCCCCATTCCTCGGCAGGCTTCCCTGTCTGGGGAAGGCCTGGCTAGGAAAGGAGAGGATATCATTTTTAAATCAAGCTCAGATTTTGATTGTTGGACATCTTACTTAAGGAAGTGCTAATTTTAGTGAGACTGAAAGTGCCAGGGGGTACTTTTTATTATCTGAGAGTGACAGAAAATGTTATGAGATTTGCTGGAGATTTCATCCAGGTATATTGGATAGTCTTATCTCACAGAGCCAGTTTGGATAAATGTTGTGGGAAAACATAGAATTTCTTTATAATTGAGGCCTGCAGATTCTAGCTTATTCAATAAAAAGTTACATTGGTTTCCAAACAATGGTCAAGAGGGACAAGAAGGGCTTATCTTTCAATATCCAGATGCCACCACATTTATATTACGAGGTGGCAGTTTATCCCTCAGAATAGCATTCATGTTTGTTGCCTCCTATAGCCTGAGTGGGATCTGTGCCCAGGACACATACCATTGTTCAGATGTGTTGGCCTGTGAATATTTCAATGAAGATATCATTCAAATTCAACAGAGATAGTCTTCTTGTCTCTGTATTACAACTCATTTTACACATAAGATATTATATAAAGAGAAGCTGCAGAAAGTAGTTAAAGCAGAAACAGGTTACATAGCAGGGGTGGCCTTTGAAGTCTTTTCACTCAGTTTATTAAGTTTCCTGACAATAGCAAAAACTTTGTTATCCCAAGGCATTGTAGTGTGCTTTGAGGTAATTTACTCAAGGAGCTGTGATGCTTAAATTATTTGTTTCAGTTCTCAATTTCTGCTCTGACTTTTCTTTGCTTAATTCCTTGGTTTTAAGTTTTAGTTTGTAGTAGCAATAAACTGCCCTCCTTTCATTGACTTGGTGCCATAAATTTCTAGAGCATTAAAATTAGAGTAATGATTTGGAAAATAAGATAGATGAATTTATAGTGTGTGGATATATATAAGAAATCGAGATATTGTGTGTATTTGCTTAGCCAAATCATATATTGATAATTTTCAACTGGTTTGGACTCCATTAGATTTTTTCTGACTAGTTTTCTTATTAATACTTTTGTAACATTGATTTCTCTTTCTCTACATGTGGCATAAAATAGGTTACTGTGAATTGGTTATCACACAAAGTGTTAGATGCCACTCTATGTTCGTTACTTTTATCGCCTAATTTAAATCTGAAAACAGATGTTTTATGAAGAAGTGATTTTCGAGAATGATAATAAACACCTATGTATTAACTCCCCAGCCTAAGAATTGAACTATTATTCTTGCAATTTTAAGTATGAGAGATACAAGTATAGAACAAATGTTTGCTTATAAATTACAAAATTTGTTTCTATTGCTTGAGTTAATGGAAGGCTTTGATGGGCTATGTATTAGGGCACCCAAATTTGTCCACCTAATTTTTTCCATGTTTTAAAAAAGTTGAGTTCCAACATTCAGCAAAATATATAAATCTTAATGGTATGGTTAATGACTTTTTACATACAGCTCATGAATCCACCACCCAGACAAACAAATAGAGCATTTCTAGTAGTCAAGAAATTTCCCAGCCGGGCACACTGGCTCACGCCCGTAATCCCAGCACTTTGGGAGGCTGAGGCGGGTGAATTGCCTGAGGTCAGGAGTTCGAGACCAGCCTGGCCACAATGGTGAAACCCCGTCTCTACTAAAAATACAAAAATTAGCCAGGCATCATGGCAGGTGCCTGTAATCCCAGCTCCTTGGGAGGCTGAGGCAGGAGAATCTCTTGAACCTGGGAGGCGGAGGTTGCAGTGAGCCGAGATCCTGCCACTGCTTTCCAGCCTGGGGGACAAGAGTGAGACTTTGTCTCAAAAAAAAAAAATGAAATTTCCCATATGCCCTATCCTAGTCAATACCTCCTTCCAAGTGTTAATTACTGTTCTCATTTTTATTGCCTTAGATTGGTCTTGCCTCTTCTTGACCATAATATAAATGGAGTAATAACAATTTATACTCTTTTGTATCTAGATTCCTTTCTTCAATATCATATCTGTGAGATTTCATCCATGCTTGTTGGTATAGGAGTAGTTCCTCCCTTTTCATTGCTGTGTACTATTTAATTGTTATGAATATATTATACTATATTTATCGATTTTACTGTCAAATGAAAAGACAAATCCAAACTTAGGTAAGGAGACATTATTTGAAAAGACTTTTGCAATAGGGAGAATGCTCTGATTGTAAGATCTATTAGCCTCTCCAAGGTCAGAAAGGGCTTCTCTTTTATAGCAATAAATGAGTCTGGAAGGAACCAGCTGCTGGGGAGTGGGATGAGCAGGTACCATGATGAGACAGTTTTTCTTTGCTATAAGCTGATTCTTAGGAGGGGCCATTAAGGAGAGTTAGCCCTTTGCAAACAAGGATGATAATCCTAGAAAATCACTTTTTTCTCTTCTTTTCTTTTCTTTTTTTTTGAGATGGAGTCTCGCTCTGTCACCCAGGCTGGAGGGCAGTGGCATGATCTCGGCTCAGCAACCTCCACCTCCCTGGTTCAAGCAATTCCCCTGCCTCAGCCTCCCAAGCAGCTGGGATTACAGGCATGCACCACCATGCTGGCTAATTTTTTTTGTATTTTTAATAGAGACGGGGTTTCACCATGTTGGCCAGACTGGCCTCGAACTCCTGACCTCAGGCAATCCACCTGCCTTGGCCTCCCAAAGTGCTGGGATTACAGGCATGAGCTACCGTGCCTGGCTGAAAATCACTTTTTTCATAAAAGGAGAATGCCTTCCGGTGACTGCTTAACCTCAGGGGCAGGAGAAAATTGAGGGACATGTAGGGAAGGGAGAAACCTAACTAAAGTTTGGTCAAGTTGAGTTAGTGAACATTTAGTTCAGATTGATCAGTGAGGACAAACAGCTCAGCTACTCGTTTATGAGACAAAGAAGGGACGTTTGGAAGGTCTGTGTCTGGTCTTATCATAGGCAAGCAAGAGGGTCATCCAGGGGTCTTGTCTAGGTCATATGGGGCAGGGTAGTTATTTACAGTAAGGTGCTTCCTGTAACATGAAGACTGGAGTTAGTTTTTAACCATTCAGTATTCTAGGAGTTCAGGTGAAGTTCAGCTGTTACTATTGAATATTCATAATGTTTTCAGTCTGGGGTCATTATGACTGAAGGTGTTATTAACTTTTTTTTTTTTTTTCGAGACAAAGTCTCACTGTCACCCAGGCTGGAGTACAGTGAAACAATCTCAGCTCACTGCAACTTCTGCTTCCTGGGTTCAAGTGATTCTCCTGCCTCAGCCTCACGAGTAGCTGGGATCACAGGCATGTGTCACCACACCTGGCTAATTTTTGTATTTTCAGTAGAGACGGGGTTTCACCATGTTGGCCAGGCTGTCTGGAACTCCTGACCTCAAGTGATCTGCCCGCCTTGGCCTCCCGAAGTGCTGGGATTACAGATGTGAGCCACTTTGCCCAGCCTGTTATGAACATTTTTATACATGTATTTTGTTGGACATAAACATTCATATCTGTTGGGCACATATCCAAGAGTAAAATTTTTTGTATCATAGGATATATGTTTGTTGAACTTTAGAAGATATGGACAGTTTTCAAATTATACTCCCATCATCGAGTCTCAGTTGTTCCACTTCCACATAATAACTTGATATTATTGGTAATCATTTTAATTTTAACCATCTTCTGTGAGTATAATGTTATCTCAGTGTAGTTTTAATTTGCATTTCCTTGATGATTGATGTTATTGAGCACCTTTTCGCCTGTAAACTTATTTTTCAAAATGACTTTTCAAGTGTTTGCCTACTTTAAAAAATGTTGATTTTCTTATTAACATGTAGGCGTTCTTTATATATTCTAGAACAAATCATTTGTCAGATATAGACACTACAAATTTCCATTCTTTTTATGCATTTTAACTTTCTTAACAGTATGTTTTGATGAATTGAAGAATTTATTTTTAATAAAATCTGATTTGTTACTCATTTTTAATTCTTTTGTCTCAAGAAATCTTTCTCTACTTCAAGGTAATGAACATCAGTTTATTTTGATTATTTTTGCTTTATTACTTTATATTTCACATTTAGATCTGTAATCCATTTCAACTTGCTTTTCTATATGATATGGGATAGTGTTAAGACTCATTTTTAAAATAGGCATATCCAATTAATACAGCACATTTATTGAAAAATCCTGTACATTACTAGTAAATTGCAGTTATGTCTTTATTGTAAATCAATTATTTGCTTCTCTTTTCTGCCTCACTGGTATATTAGTTTAGTCTTGTGCCAGTAACACACTCCCCTATTACTAAGGCTGAATGCCTAGTAGGGTATATCCTGTTCTAGTCTTGTTCTTCTCTAGTATTTTCTTGGCTATTTTAAGTCCTTTGCATTTTGATGTATATTTTAGAGTTAGCTTTTCCATTTTAATACACACAGAGGTAAAATGCTGGGGCTTTCACTGACATAGTATGGACTCAATTATTTCTAATTTGTATTCAAACATTAAATTAAAAAAAAACATGGAGGCAAAGCAAACAGAAACCAGTTGGGAATGTAGACATTTACTTTCAGCTTGGAATAATCACCTTTTCATAAATGTGGCTAGATCTGGGATTTTGGTTATATGAACCTTAGCAAATACAAACTATGACACTGAATAGTACACTTTGAAAAATGAGAACTAGGAAATTTTTGGTGCCCACCCTGTGGCCAATTACTGTTATGAATTTGGGGTTGAATTCCATGAGGTCAACTGTTTTTGTGGGTTTTGTTTGCCAGTATTTTTCCTGGGCTGAGAGAAATGCCTGGTGGTAGTAGACACTTACTAAACATTTATTGAATGAATGAAGGTATCTACATGTGGCAGTCTTCAGACTGTGTAGTTCTAAGTATGAATTCTACAAGGGACAAATAATTTCAACACTTGAAAATTTGCATTCAAAGAACATTTTCCCCCAAAAGCAGTGTTAGAAAAATGCAGAAAATTACAGGTGATAGATGATATTAATCATTCATGGTATTAATCATTTACTAACAGTACTGAATACTGTATCATAATATATTTAAAATAAATTTTAAAAGCAGCCACATTAATATATAACATAAAATATAAATAATATATTTTTGGTGACCTATAATGTTCTGAATTGTTCTAAAATACAATGTAGTATATTCCATATTTTATCTTCTAGGTGTTCATGCAAGACCTCTTATTTTCTGGCAGATACATAAGAACATTGTTCTCAGTTTTTAACTTGAAACTTTTAAGGAGGAAACTTAATCTATGACTCAATCTTCCACTAACAGACACGCAATCTCCCCTATATTGCCATTTCACTCCACTTCTCCCCTCCTTACAATGAGAAAGTTCTCCTTTGTTTCATCTAAGACTAATTCGGATGAGATTTAGATCTCATTGCCTACTGTTTTGTGGTGAGGGGGGACCTGAAATTGGGGTTAACTTTTTCGAGTTTTTCCTTCAACTGCATCTTCTGTAGTATACTTAGGTTTTCTATTACAGTCTATTAAAAAGAGAAATGCCAACACATTTCTTAACCCTACACCCATCTCTAGTTTTCACTCTGTCTTTCTCCTTTTCTAGAGTCCATAGAGTCAAACTTGTTTTTTTTTTTTTTTTGGTGGGGGGGAGGGTTTGGGGTTGGGTGGGGGCGGTTGTTAAAAAACTAGATGTATTTTATTAATTTTTAAAGTTGAAATATTTAGAACTACATTCATTGACATTTCATCCTGGTACTATTCACTTTTTATCGTGTCATGTGCCAGATTCTCCTTAGCAGAAAGCCAAGAATTTAAATTGTGTTTTCAAGTAATAGCTATGCAAACAGTTCAAATAATAATAACCCAATTGGTTCAGTAAAAAGGTGCCAACTAATTTTTAATGGATTTTTTTCTGTGCTAAATTGAGCAATAGCTCAAAAAGTCATCATGTTGTATGTATACATACAGTGTGGATTGTTTTGGGAGGATTATCACTAGAGGTTGTTTTATTTTAAATTTTATTATGGCAAGAACACTTAATATGAGTTCTGCTTTCTTAACAGATTTTTAAATTGTACAATACAGTACTGTTAACTATAGGCACATATCTAGAATTTATTCATCTTGTATAATTAAAACATTATACCTCTTCAATGGCAACTCCCCATTTTCCCTACCCCCAGCCTCTGCAAACCACCATTCTGCTCTCCGCTTCTATAGGTTTGACTTTTAGGTACCTTATATAATTAGAATCATATGGTATTTGTCGTTCTGTGATTGGCTTATTTCATTTAACATTATGTCCTCGGGGTTTATCTGTCTTGTTGCATACAGTAAGATTTCCTTCTTTTTAAAGGCTAAATAATATTTTCTTCTATTATAAACTTAAAAATTACACAATATATAAATTTAGAAAGGAGACCTTTATTTTAAGAAGGAGATTACAATCTTCAGGCAGGAAGCACAGCCTCCAGCTTAAAAAAAATAAAAGCAAGTACTTTTGATGGAGGGAAAATCGAGACAGGAATTTATGCTGAACAGGTTGGCCAAGTATATATATTCAGCAGGCTGTGGGAGGAACTCTGAATATTCATGAAAGGAGGTTGTATGCAAGCAAACATGTTACATGTATCCCATGTTCACCTTGGGGCGGAGACTTGGCATTTAAATGTGTTACAATTAGGTTCTCTATGTCAAAAGGTGAAGTAGGGGCTGGGGGCAGTGGCTCATGCCTGTAATCCCAGCACTTTGGGAGGCCAAGGCGGGTGGATCACAAGGTCAGGAGTTTGAGACCAGCCTGGCCAACATAGTGAAACCCCGTCTCTACTAACTTGTGCATGGGGATGCACGCCTGTAGTCCCGGCTACTCAGGAGGCTGATACAGGAGAATCCCTTGAACCCGGGAGGCAAGGTTGTGGTAAGCTGAGATCACGCCACTGCACTCCAGTCTGGGCAAAAGAGAGAGACTCCGTCTCAAAAAAACAAAAAAAAAAAAAAAAGAAAGTGAAGTAGGGACAATAGGGAC